>NC_000010.11:11373636-11525151 GCF_000001405.40 Homo sapiens
TGTCACACTGGTGCTGCTACTGTTACCACTGTGCACAGAGTAGCCATCATTTCATGCCTGGACTCCTGCCATAGCCTCTGAGCAGACTCCCCGCCTCCCCTCCTGCCAGGGTGTCACCTGGTCTGCACCATGCGCTGTCCTGGTCTCCCGCCCCCGTCCTTGCTGCTCCTCCAGCAGTCCAGCACCTCCCACCGCCACTGCTCCCTCCACAGGGAACACCCTTTCCCCCGGAAGCCACGGGCTCACCCCAACCTCCTTCAATCATCCTTTGTTCAGATCCTCCTTTGTTCAGATCCTCCTTTGTTCAGATGTCACCTTCTCAAGAAGACCTACCCAGACCCATCTTCCAAAAATTAAAACACAGCACTCCGCATCCCCTGATAGCAGTGATGTGCTGGTGAATGTTTAACAACCAGCTCCCAGCAGGGAGCCCTGAGGCATAGCCACGGCTGATCTCTCTGGGGTAAGCAGTCCCATCACCCATCACGGCAGATTTCCAGTGACCAACATGAGCTCACCGCAAAGAGATGCATACAGCGGGCACCAGCACACGCTGCTGAACCCTGCTGTGTTTCTCTATACCACGATCTCACCTTCTCACAGATGCAGAAATTTACATATTAATTATATTACTGTTTATTGTCTGCCTTCCCCCACTTGAATATAAATTCCACAGAGACTGGCTAATTGAGCTTGGTTTTAGTTTTTATTCCCTGATAGGTCCCAGGCATCTAGAGCAAGAGTTAGCAAACTCCACCTGGAGGTCAAATCTGGCCTGTAGCCTGTTCGCGGGGTTTTAGTTTAAAGAGACAGAGTCTTGCTATGTTGCCCAGGCTGGTCTCAAATTCCTAGGCCCAGAGGAGTGGAAGACATGGATCCCGCCCTCTAAGACTTGGCGCAGAGACACAGGGAGAGAGGCAGAGATGGTGACGAGCAAATGTGCCAAAACGGCACAAAATGAGAACTCAGTCCTTGTGGGAAGAGGAGCACAGTGGTTCTTGGGGAGGTTTCTAGGGCAGGATCCTCCCCAGATCAGCCTCCCAAGCAGCTGGGACTATAGGCATGCACCACTGCGCAGGCTTGCAGCCTATTTTCATAAACAAAATCTTGTTGAAGGAAGCCACACTCACTTGTTTACGTGGTGTCCGTGGCTGCTTTGCATTACAATGGCAGCAGAGTTTTGTGATGGATACCATACGGCCAACACCCTAAATACTTACCACCTGGCCCCTTACAGAAAAAGCATGCTAACCCCTGACTTGGAGGAGCGCCGGGTACAAAGTAGGCTCTCGATAAATATTTGTTGTATAAATGGCTGAAAATCACACAGAAAACCAATGTGGAGACTTTTCTCCTCAAATCATGCTTGTCCTAGTGTGTTCAAGCTGCTATCACAGAATACCAGCCAGGTGTGGTGGCATGCACCTGTGGTCCCAGCTACTTAGGAGGCTGAGATGGGAGGATCGCTTGAGCCCAGGAGTTCGAGGTTGCAGTGAGCTATGATCACACCTGTGAATTGCCACTGAACTCCAGCCTGGATGACAGAGCAGTATGCAAGACCTTGTCTTCCAAAAAAAAAAGAATGCCATAGACTGGGTGGCTTGTGGCTTATGAACAGCAGAAATTTATTTCTCCTAGTTCTGGTGGCTGGGCTGGGAAACCCAAGATTAAGGCACCAGTAAATCTGGGGTCTGGTGAAGACTCACATGGATACTGGTCTTCTCAGTGTGTCCTCATATGATGGCAAGGGTGAGGCAGCTTCCTGGGTCCTCTTTTATAAACTCACTAGTCCCATCATGAAGGCTCTGCCCTCTCATTACCTAGTTACCTCTCAAAAAACCCTCCTTCTACCTCCATCACCTTGAGGGCAAGGATTTTAGTGTATGAATTTCAGGGGGACACAAACATTCACCCACAGCAATGCTGTACCCATTATTCCTACCACCTGCTTCAAGAACAAGACATCATTCATCATGTCACACCTGGAGACATTACACCTGTTTTACTCTCCCACTGAGGACACTGAGACCAGATGAGGACACAGCTGTGACCTCCCCTGAGAGCTTTTGAGGGGAGCTGTTCCATCTCCTCCTCCTGAGTCATCAAGGCTGGAGACACTGCATGTCCATCACTGTCTTCTCATAAACTCCTTGCAAGGTAGATCATTTCATCCCCATTCTATGGAGAGCAGACAGAGGTTTCAGAAGTGTAAGTCTCATCCCAAAGGTCCCATGGCTAGTCAATGGCAGATATGGATCTGAGCACAAGCCTTTGGACTCCAAAGCTCTTATTTGTGCATTTCTGCCAATCTGTGAAATATTCCTCTCCATTAGGGTGCATGTGCCCAAGGGTTGGAAATAATGGGACAGAATATTCCAGGGGGACTCATTTCTTCATGAGGTGTCATGAATTGCTTTTCAAAAAAAAAAAAAATCTCTTGCAGATTTTCGATTCATTGCAGCCATAATGGTAGCATGAGTTGCTAAAGAGACGGAGGGTAAGGGGTCAGGGAAGGGAGGCATCTCCACGTCGGCGGGCTGGGGAAATCAGAGCCAGCCCACGCAGGGCATGCAGCTGCGAATCTGTTGAGGAGGCAGCGTGCTAACAGATGAGGAGATGACGTGAGAGGGAAACTGGTGTCTCCATTTGCCAAGGCCAAGAATTAAATAAAAATCTCCAGGACCAAGAATAGACTAAAAATCCCCTGACCCCAAGCCCTGGCTTTTGTGTTATAGTCACTCCGCCTCCACCATTCCACTCTCAAAGTTGATTTTTTTTCCTTTTTCTTTTTCTTTTTTTTTTGAGACGGAGTTTCACTCACTCTGTTGCCCAGGCTGGAGTGCAGTGGTGTGATCTCGACTCACTGCAACCTCCACCTCCTGGGTTTAAGCAATCCTCCCACCTCAGCCTCCCGAGTAGCTGGGATTACAGGTGTCCGCCACCACACCTGGCTACTTTTTGTATTTTTAGTACAGACAGAGTTTCACCATGTTGGCCAGCCTGGTCTCAAACTCCCAGCCTCAAGTGATCTGCCTGCCTCGGCCTCCCAAAGTGCTGGGATTACAGGTGTAAGCCACTGTGCCTGGCCTCAAAGTTGATTTTAATTCAATGTGAGGTTGGATCGTACAAATTAGTTCAAGTCTGGAATGAGAGTAGACACTCAAATGCATTCTAATGACATAGACGTTCAGAGGTGGAGGGAGGCCCTGGGGATTGCCTGGGCTGGGGGTTCCAGGCTGGGGTGCACATCACATTCCTCACTCCCAGGAGCTGTGAGAAGGTGGGAGCAGCCCCGTGGGCCGAGTCGATTGGTCTGGGGTGGGCCTGGGCATTGATGTCTTTTAAAAACTCCCCTAAATGTTTCTCAGGTGCAGCTGGACTTGAGAACCCCTGAACTAGTTCAACCTCCTGATTTTACAGATAAGAAATCCAACCCTGGGACTTTTAAAGGGTTTTCCTCCATTCACCGAGAACCATGCAGGGACCAACTCGGAGATGGTAGCAGGTCCCAGGCCACTGTCCTCCACTCTGGGCCATGCTCCATCCCTGCCAGGTAACCCGATGGCAGAGGAATCATCATTGAGGCTGGGAAAACTGAGGATATTTGGAATTTTTGCCAGAGTCTTTAAGTCCACTGAGGCCTCAGAGCATCTGTGTGGGGGAGGATGGAAACCGGTACTATTGCCCCATGTTACTGCTTTGGAAAATGGAAGAGCTGCAAGCTGAAGTTCTCAAAGGCAGTGTAACCCAGTGTTAGGAGCCCTTGCTGTGGACTCAGATCCAGCTCTGCATGCACTAGCTGTGCATCCTTGGACAAATTACTGAACCTCTCTGAGCTGTAGGTTCCTTGTTTATTAAGTGGGGTTGACAAGAGTGGTAACTCTTAGCAGTGCTGTATTAAAGGTCCTGGCCCAAATTGAGCACAAAGTAGAATCTGTTATTAGAACGAGTGCTCCCACATCACTCTGGCAGTTCCTGTATAGCCAGGATAGAAACACAGATTATCACAAACGAATAAGCTGAGAATCAAAGAAGTCAAACCACTTGTCCAAGATCCCACAAAAAGTCAGAGACATGCCTGGGCCTAGAACACAGACCCCAGAGCTCTCACTCGGCCTGTAGGCTTCCCACACACACATGCCTAGTTTCCCAGGGGGCCCCAGGTCAGTAGATTCTTCCCCCAGACCTCGTTGGCTCTAATGTGTTCCTTTTTTTTGGTTTTGTTTTTGTTTTGTTTTTTTTGAGAGAGAGTCTCACTCTGTGGCCCAGGCTGGAGTACGGTGGTGGGATCTCAGCTCACTGCAACCTCTGCCTCCCGGGTTCAAGTAATTCTCCTGCCTCAGCCTCCCCAGTAGCTGGCATTACAGGTGTGCACCACCACACCCAGCTACTTTTTGTATTTTTAGTAGAGACAGAGTTTCATCATGTTGGCCAGGCTGGTCTTGAACTCCTGACTTTGTGATCCGCCTGCCTCAGCCTCCCAAAGTGCTGGGATTACAGGCGTGAGCCACTGCGCCCAGCCTGTGCTGCTTTTAACGAGAGTGCAAAATCAACCCCTTGTGAGAACTCCTATTGGGGGAGCACATGAAAGGAAAGAGGGAACCCACTGTCCCTGCCACCTCCACGATCAACCCTGGAAAAGGAGTAATTAGGGTCATGAATCCTGGGCCACCTCCTGCTTCAAGAGTGTCACTGCCAGCGTGGCCCTGCGCAACCCTCTCCACGGGGCCACAGGACACAGAAGAGCTGGTTTTTTGCAAAGGAGCACAGACTGCCGAGCTTTGGATTCACCGCCTGATGAGGGGCCATGCATCCTGCTTATGGGGGAGATGACCACCCACGATCCCCAGAGCAGCAGCCAGGGACACTTCGGAAAGCAGGCCCCACTGCCAGCCAGGCCTCTGGACAGGCCGTATTGGGATTGTCTCTGGAATCAGCTAGAAGAGAGGCAAAGGCCACTGGGGCGATGGCGAGAAACCCTCTCCCCATTCTCCAAGGGTCTTTTCTTCCAACAAGATTCGCTCATGCCAGTGTCATTTCTCATTTATGCCTAGTGTTCCATTATTGGAACGCTAAGCATGTGGTAGTTATTTATATCCTACTGCTCAAGGTCATTGCCAAGGTCTGATTGCAAAAATTCAAAAAATTGCAACCTCAGACATAAATGGGTTAAAAGAGACAAGCAAAAGAAGTCAGGAGGAAATGGATCAACCAAGCAGCACTTGTGACACAGGCCACTCTGTGCCCAGCACTGAGAGAGATTCAAGAGGCACCCACAGCAGGGGGGCAGGATGTGACCCCACTCTCCCAGTGCAGGGAAGTCTATGCTCAGTAGCAACTGGCTGTGTGACCTGGACCACGCTCCTTGCCCTCTCTGGGCCTCAGCAGCTCCTTTATAGAGTGACCAGGCCACAGGAAGCTCTGACATTCCATGACGTTTGGGCCCATGGGAAATGAACCACGCAGGGCTGGTTGCTAGGGAAGCCAAGTAGGGGAGTTAGCTATTCAGGGAGGGGCTGTGTCCCAGACCCCAGCGCAATGGCAGCACGGGAGGTCGTCCCCACAGCCTCCACCCAGCCCCTAGAGGTTTGAGGAAGAGCACACTGTGTCCCCTTGGGAAATGTCTCTTTAGAAACTGGAATTGTTTTGACCTGGAAGAGAGGAATGCCACAGGGACCTTAGATGCCAACGTAGGTCATTTAGATTCTACTCTACTGGGACTTGGGAGCACTATGGGATTTCCGAGAGCAGGGAAATAATCTACCCAGGGTTTAAAATGATTGCAGGCTGGAAAACCAGAGGAGAGAGTCTAGCCTGGGTGCTGCCCAAAGGTGGGGCTGGGGGCCTCTTTGGAGCCCCTCCATTCAGCCCGATACTTTCCCATTAAATTAGAAAATTGGAGCCTATTTAAAGGCTTTTTCCCCCAAACATTTTCTAAGGACTTGAAGGCAGCAAGAGAGCACGAAAACGTGCATCCGGCCGGAGGGAGCTCCATTTGCCAACCTGAAATCTCTGCTTCTCATTAATTAGAGGAGCCGAGAAATCATCCTTCAAAAACTGGCTTTCCAACCAGAAATTCCAACGGCTCCACCTTTTGTGGGAACCGTGCTGCTGGCCACCTCTGGAGCCTGAGCCCCAGATGGCAAAGTGCCCTGGCCGCGCAATTGAGATAGCCGCTCGGTGCCATCTTTGCCTGTCAATGGCCGTGTGGAGAGCCATCCACTCACAACCTCTTTATCTGTCTGTTTCATGAGCCATCCACTGCCCAGCACTCCTCCCCGGAGCCCCGCTGGCCGAGATGCCAATCGGGATGCCAAGCACTGGCCGCGGCTTCCTCTCCTGCTTCCGGCAGCAGCATCTGCATCTTTGTTTGGCTCCGGCCTCGCTCCCTGGCTGGCTGCACTCCTGGCCTGGCAGGAGCAGCTTGGGGGGCTGCGGTGGCAGGTGGTGACAGCTCCCTACGTCAGGCTTCCAGCGCTGTGGCCTCTTTCCTGCTCAGCCACACATGGGCTGCCTGAAAGCAGAGGGCAAGGCAATGTGCCCACCGAAGGGACTCATGCAATCCGGTGTGCTCTGAGCCCGCCAGACAACACCTGGATCTCAGCCCCACAAATGGACACAGAAGATGTATCACCAAAACAAATCCATCTTTGGTCTCTGTCCCTGGTTCCTGGCACAGAACTGCTAAAACCCTTAAAATTTCCTGAATGTCAGAAGTACTAAGCACATCCCTGGTTCTAATATTTGGTCTTTGACCCCAGTATCTGACACAGAGCTCCTAAACCCTTTGGGAGGATAGGAGCATCTTTTGTTCTAATGAGCAATTCTTGGTGGGCTCCTGGGTGGGGGCTGGTCGCCAGAAAGATCAAGCCAGGATTAGAAGCTTGGAACTTTCAAGCTTCCACGCCCATCCTCGGGGAGGGGAGAAGGGCTGGAGATTGAGTTAATAATAGAGAATGCCAGCGAGGTGCATCACACTCACGCCTGTAATGCCAGCACTTTGGGAGGCTAACATGGGAAGACCACTTGAGCCCAGGAGTTTGAGACCAGCCTGGACAACCTAGTAAAACCCATCTCTACAAAAAAATGGAAACTTATCTAGGCATGATGGCACATGCCTGCAGACCCAGGGACTGGGGAGGCTGAAGGAGGAAGATTGTTTGAGCCCCAGAGGTCAAGGCTGCACCAAGTTGTGACTGCACCACTGTGCTCCAGCCTGGACCACAGAGAGACCCTGTCCCACTCCAAGAAAATAATCCATCATGCCTAAGCCTCACAAAATCCCTAGAAGACGAGGTTTGGAGAGCCTCTGGGTTGGTGAGCATTCCCACCAGCCAGCAAGGTGGGAGACCCCAACTCCACGGGGGAGACCCCAACTCCACAGGGAAGAAGCTCCTGTGCCCGGGACCCTTCCGGACCTCATCCTGTGCACTCTTCATCTGGCTGCCCATTGGCATCCTCTATCATTTCTTTCATAAGAAACCAGTCAAAGTTTTCTGCATTCTGTGAGTCATCATAGCAAATGATTCAACCTGAGGATGGGGTTATGGGAACCCCTGATTTGTAGCCAAGTCAAATAGAAGTGTGGGTGACCTGGGGGCCCACTGCTATGACAGGCGTCTGACACAGCATGGGGGGGCAGTCTTGTGGCACTGAGCCCTTCGCCTGTGGGGCCCGCACTAATCCAGCTGGTCAGTGTCATAGCTGCATTGAAGACACCCAGGTGGGGTCCAGAGAGTTGGAGAATGTGCGGGTGTGGGAAAAGCTCCCATGCATCCGGTGGGAGGCACAGAGAAAGCAGTGTGCTTCTCCTATTTAGACGGGGGCACCCCCGGAGCATATGTGCAGAGCCCTGAGGCTTCCCACGAGGGAGGGGGACAGGGAGGAGAGAAGGCAGAGAGACAGACGGCCACTTCCCAGGACCACTGCTATCAAGGCAGGAGGGTGCTGACTCTGAGAGGAAGAACCAGGACCTCAGGGTGGAAACCACAGAGAGACTAATTGCATTTCCATGAAGGAAAGACGTGTTCAGCAAACGTGTGTGGGCCGCCTCTGGAGATGACATCTGTCCCAGTGAAGTATCGGAGTGGAGGCCAGGAGCCAATGGCAAGGGCCATTGAAGGCTGGACTCCACCTCAACCCATGCCTCCAAGGCAGCCCAGGAAGTGTGCATCAATCTGCAACCTCCAAGAGGAGATCAATTCCACCCCCAATTCTGCCATGCCTTTGTTGACAATGGGATTCAGCAAGTCACCTAACCTCTCAAAGCCTCAGGCTTCTTGTCTGTAAAATGACAGGTCTCTGAAAAGACCACCTCTCAGTCATCTCCAGTTTTTTTTTTTTTTTTAAGACAGGGAGGATCTCATGCTGTCACTCAGGCTGGAGTGCAATGGTGTGATCACAGCTCACTGCAGCCTCAACCTCCCAGGATCAAGTGACCCTCCTGCCTCAGCCTCCTGAGTAGGAAAGACTACAGACATGCACCACTATGCCCAGATAGTTTTTGCATTTTATAGAGACAGAGTCTTGCTACGTTGCCCAGGCTGGTCTTAAACTCTCAGCGTCAAGTAATCCTCCCACCTCAGCCTCCCAAAGTGCTAGGATTGCAGGTGTGCGCCACCGTACCTGGCCTCCAATCTCACGCGTGGCAGTGCAACCAAGCCCCCATTCTCACCCCTCTCCTGTGGCCAGAGAGACGCTGGGCCTGAGGCCCCTTAGAGCTGACTCAGTGGATGAAGGTGCTTCGAGGTAACCCAGTCAGAAGGCAGTGCTGGGGGCGGGGGCTGTGGAGGACTTCCTATTGCATAATAAGGTTGGTATTAGGCCAGCAGGGAGGCTCTGAATCTCAAACGTAAAACCGATGAGGACTTTTGGCAGAAATGACCCCTTTCAATGTAAGATGTATCTGACTGATGTTAGGAACTTAAAGTAAATCAAGGGGGAAAAAGGGCAATTGCAACTGAGAGCGGAAAATCCCCACCGCCACCCCTGTCATCCACCAGGCAGCAGAATGGATGGTGTACCTGGCTCGTGACTGTCTCCAGAGGTGAAGAAAGCTTACAAAACAGCAGAAGAAACTAGAAACTTCTCAAATTCTAGGGCAGTCTGAGGGTGGAGGTGGAGCAGAGGAGAAGGGGAGTCAGGGAAAAGGAAGGAGTTCAAAGGGCGGAAAAACTGGGTGGGAAGGAAACAGTAAGGCAGAGAGGGCACAACGCGCCGGGCCAGGAGTGTCCTCCCCGGGGCCATCCCAAAGGCCTGAGCCCAGACGGCCATGCTCTCAGAGAGTAAAAGGGACACGAGGTCACTAGACCAGGACTAGGCATGGGAGGAGTGTCTATTGCCTGACTTTTCTCTTCTCACCCCTCCCTCTGAAGCTCTGACTTCTCACCAAAGACCTTACCATCTATGTGAACACCCTGGTCTCTCCTGTGCTCATGTGTATGTTTACTTTAAGGGGATAGTGGCCAAGCTGGTCACCAGCTACAAGCATAGACTAAGCCCCAACCCCAGCTCCCAGGGAACCCAGGCAAGAAAATCATGTTTAGCATGGGCTATGAGCCCCCTTCAATGGCTGAAAAAATAGTAAGAGAGAGTCCTTTAGGCTCTCTCCTCCCACTCTTAGCTCACATCCTGGGCAAAAAGATATGGAGCCTGTTGCATGGGTTATAGAAGAAAAGGGGGAAAGGTTACCGTCTTGGATCTCTAAACCTTGAAGCAAAGCTATGGCTGAATCACATCTAGGGTCCCACGGAGTCAGAGCTGAGTCCTTCCACACTGCAGAGCTGTTTGGCATCCAGAGCCATGGTTATGGAGATTGGAATCGCCTCTCAAAGCAAGAAGGACTTGGAATGGGCAGCTGGGAACTTGGCTCTGGAATGTTCTTAGAAGGTGGGTATGAGCACTCCTCTTCTGGCACAAACTTTTCTTTTCTTCCTTCTCTTTTTTTATAAAGAGGAGATCTTGCTATGTTGCCCATCCTGGATTCAAATTCCTGGGCTCAAGAGATCCTCCCACTTCAGCCTCTCAAATAGCTGGAACTACAAGTATGCCATCATGCCAGGCTAATAGTTTTTTTTTTCTTTGTAAAGACAGGGGTCTCACTATGTTGCCCAGGCTGATCTCAAACTCCTGGCCTCATGTAGTCCTCTTGTCTCAGCCTCCCAAAGTGCTGAGATTCCAGGAATGCACCACAGTGCCCAGCTCTGGCACAAAATGTTCAAACATAGATGATGTCTTAGCTTGGAGAGCTATAACAGAATACCACAAACCAGTGGCTTACACAACATTTATATATCATGGTTCTGAAGGCTGGGAAGTCCAAGATAAGGTGCCAGCTGATTCAGTTCCTAGTGAGGGCTCTCTTCCTGGTTTACAGATGCCACCTTCTTGCTATAGCCTCATACGATGGAGAGAGAGATCATCTCTCTTGTGTCTCTGATAAGGGCACTAATCCCATTGATCAGGGCTCCACTGTCAGGACCCAATCACCTGCCAAATGCCCCACCTCCAAATACCATCACCTTGGGGGTTAAAGCTTCAACAAATGAACTTTGAAGGAACACAAACATTGTCCGTATCAGATAGCTTCCTGAAAGAAGAGGCAGCTCTGTTAGAATAAAGAGTTCTGGGAGGATTTGGGAAGAGTTTAAGTTTCTCAGTGCCTGGAGAAAAGGGGGTGAAGAGACCCATGAGCAAGAGTGACATTGGAGGGAGCTGTGGCAAGGCAGTGGAGAAGGAGGCAAAGACGTCAGGAAGCCTAGCACGACACAGCCAGAAGTCTGCTTGGAAAAACTGACAGTTCACAAACAACCTCAGGCTCCATGAACAGCCTGAGGGACTTCCAGAAGCTTCGTGATTAGCCCCAGAGGAAGAGGAGAAAGTGGAGGCCATAGAAATTTTAAAGAAAGAGAATACTGCTGAAAGCTCAAGTCTTAGGGATGAAAAAAGAAATAGTTACAGAGATAGACGTTAGCAGCTGCCGCAAACAGAGTGGGGATGGGGGGTCCACCCTCCTCCTAGGACACGGAGCCTGATGTCCAACTCAAGGCTTCACCCTCCCATGTCAGTTACTACTGTCCAGCGGGACGGTAGAAAAGATGGGCTGCGTATGTCCTGTGGAATATTTCTCAGTGGTGAAGATGTGGTTCAGTCAGAAAATAGGTTAGGGTCATAGATTAGAGCCTCTGGGCCAGCCTTCACTGAGGACCAAAGCTGCCCCTGGGCTCTTGGCCCCAACCCCCTGGCTGGTGGGGCCAGAGGTGATACAAGTGCAAATTCAAGACAGGAAGGCATCCCTCCCAGCCATGCCAGGTATCAGTGCATTAGTCTGTTCTCACGCTGCTGATAAATCCATAACCAAGACTGGGTAATTTATAAAGAAAAAGAGGTTTAATGGACTCATAGTTCCACATGGCTGGGGAGACCTCACAATCACGGCGGAAGGCGAAAGGCACATTTACGTGGTGGCAGGGAAGAGAGAATGAAAACCAAGCGAAAGGGGTTTCCCCTTACAAAACTATCAGATCTCATGAGACTTCTTCACTACCCCAATAACAGTATGGGGGAAACCTCCCACATGATTCAATGATCTCCCACCAGGTCGCTCCCACAACACATGGGAATTATGGGAGCTGCAATTCAATATGAGATTTGGGTGGGGACACAGCCAAACCATATCAATCAGGTAATAAGTTCATGCTCCTTCCTGGTGCTGTCCAAGCCACATCTCACACACATCTTACTGCAGGACTGGACAGTGCCAGGCGTTGGACGCAAGGTGACGACAGAGCCTCTCTCAGGTGCTTGTCATGAGCCATGAATTCCCGAGGTGGCATGAGAGAAGTTGTGCCCCACCCTCAAGGCCTGGCAAAGTGGACCAGGTTAGTGGGACAAATCCTACCCCATTCCAGGTGTCAGCCCATTATTTCCAGCAACCTGCTTGAATCAACAGCCAGTCCCTATGGCTACTGGTGCACACCTTCTCAGAGCCTGGCAAGTAGGACTGCAGTTTCCAGCTCTGCGCAGCAGGTGGGGAAGAACTCAGAGAACAGAGCCCAGGCGACAAGACTCCAACAGCATCCCATACTTTGCCCTCCAAGAATGGTACGTGAGAGAGGTTAGTAGCTCCCCCAAACATGGTGGGGACAGGGGGGCTCCACCCTCGTCCTAGGACTGGGAGTCTGAGGTCCAACTCAGGATTCCACCCTCTCATGTCAGTTACACCCTCCCATGTACAGTAGGGTAATAGCAAAGGTGGGTTCACTTTTGCTGTGAGAAGGGGAGTGGTCTCCAGTTACAAGGCCCTGGAGCGCCCTAGAGATCAACAATTTAAGGAACTCTATTGAAGAACACCCATGACCAGCATTATGTGGGAATCCCTGTTTGAGGTAAGTGCATACCCAGCTGGCTGAAGAGAAGAAAAGGGGCAGGAGGGGAGGTTCAGAAGCTCCATGGACGTCAGACTGCGGGGGGCCTTGCACACCATGCTGAGAGGTGCGGACTTTTCTTGAAGCAATAGGAAGACTGTCGAGCCAGGCAGGAGGGCAGAGCAGTTAGGGCCCATTTGTGTCTTTGCAGCTCCTCTTGCTTCCCCCAGGTGGTCTCCCTTCCAGTTCTGTCTCCACCAGACCAGTGCTAGCAGTGAGGGGACTGCAAGGAACTTCCTGAACTAATTAAAGACAGTGGGAGATGCGGATTCAGAGGGAGGGCATCTAATGAGTGTTAAATGCGACGTAACATTGACAAAACCTCAATGCTTTGTCAATGAAAGGTTTTACCGATTAAAACCTCAATAACAAAGAAGAGCTGTTCATTCAATTATTGCTCTTAGGCAGAGGAGAGAAATATTTTGATCCATCCCTGATGCTGAGTGACCTATTTCTATATCAAAGATAATCATAAAACTGCCTTTTATGGAAAGCGGATCTGGTTCACCCAGTAGCTCTGTGTTGTCCTGTGGTCCATATTGGGTTTTTGTGCAAGTCCAGGAGCTGAGACAAAGCATTTTGCTCTGCATAAAAGAAGAGAGGACAGCCACCAAGGTTAGGTACTTTCTGAGGACAGGGAGTAGAAACACACTCAGAGAAAAGACTTTAGAGAAACAAAACATCTTTTTTTTTTTTTTTTAAGATGGAGTCTCACCCTGTCGCCCAGGCTAGAGTGCAGTGGTGTGATCTCAGCTCACTGCAACCTCCGCCTCCCCAGTTCAAGCGATTCTAATGCCTCAGCCTCCCGAGTAGCTGGGATTACAGGCACGCGCTACCATACCTGTAATTTTTGTATTTTTAGTGGAGACAGGGTTTTGCCATGTTGGCCAGGCTGGTCTGGAATTCCTGACCTCAGGTGATATACGCCCCTCAGCTTCCCAAAGTGCTGAGATTACAGGCATGAGCCAACGCTCCCGGCCGAGAAACAAAACATCTAAAATGCATCCTGAAGTAGTTTGCTGTGGCGTGATCCCCTGTAACTGTCTCCCCTATGAGATCTGTAAATTCTCACCAATTGCTCACTCCTGCTATCGCGGGAGGGGATGCTTTTTGAGTTCTGTACCCACGTAGGTGCAGGATCAAGACAGAGGATGTTCCCACGGCGCTGGGGCCGGAGGATGAGGGTTGGCAGATGTCTGGCTCCAGTGGATGGATCATGAATCATCCAATGCTGAGTGTAGGCTGCCGGGTCCTGAGACACCCCTTAGGAGGGGACGGGGCTGGGAGAGGCAGGGTGGACAAACTGACTGGCACATCCTGGGGACAGTGGGAGGAATCCACCAGCATGCTGATCTGTGACCTGCCTCTTCTCTCCATTTGTGGGATGAGCTTTGATTCTCATATCCCAGCAGGGGCGTGGGGAGGGCAGGAAACCAACACAACAAAAACCCAGAGGCAGTTTGTCATGGAAAAAAAAATTAATAATAAGAGGCTTTCACGCCAAGCCCTGCTCTGACAATCTGACTGTTCACCCTGTATTTTAAGTGAAGGCTTAGAAAAAAAGAATATATCTCTATATAAAAGCAATAGAAATCCTCCCAGAAAGAAGGCTTCCCTGCCTGTCTCTCTCCAGCCCTCACATCACCCTATGGCTCTCCCGAGCTTGATACAACTTGCAGTCGAAATGGAAGGCTGTAATTACAGCGAGACTGGCAGAAGCTGCTGTTCAAATTAAACTCCTTTAAAAAAAATTCCTTTTCAATAAAGAGAGGCTAAACTCAGCATGCTTTAGCCATTACCATAGCACTTTTCTCCCAGGAGGATTAACAAATATGAAGTATGGGGCCTAGAAATTTTGATCAGGCAAAGCATTTTAAAGGGTTTTATTCTCTCCCTCTGTCATTAAACTTGCACTACTGTGATTCAATTCTGTATCTAATGTGGACACACACATGCGTGCTGCATCCCGTCTACCCGTGGAGGACAATGGGACCTTCTGCAGGAATGAGTCTGTCTGTTAGGATCTACGAGGGGAAAAACTGTGCCTCTAAAATATACATAAAAGTGACCCCATATAGAAACGGGTGAAAACAAGTGTGTTTTCATTGCTAGGGTGGTGGTTTTGAACTTGGGCACACAAGACGAAGATATTTATCAGCTCAAAGAAGCAGATCTCGGTTTGGGAAGGTGATTTATGGGAAACCAAACAAAAAACCTACCAGGCCTGGCCAAGCCTACAGGGGAGGCCTCTCTCCACAACTCGGAAGAGGAACGCAGTGGAACCCCAGCGCCTGCAAGCAGCCCGGGAGGGGACGGCCCATCTCTGCTGCCTGGGCCTGTCTGTTCCCGGCACTGACCCTTTAGACTCATGACTGGAAAGAAAGGGAAGGAAAATGGAGGCAGGAGAGAAGAGAGGGAAGGCAGGAGAGAGAACAAAGGAAAGTAGAAGGACAGAAGGGAGGCAGCCAGAGACCTCTGGTCGTACTGAAAGAAACCAACTAGGCCAGGCGCAGTGACTCACGCCTGTAATCCCAGCACTTTGGGAGGCCAAGGTGGGTGGATTACCTGAGGTCAGGAGTTCGAGACCAGCCTGACCAACATGGTGAAAAGACGTCTCTACTAAAAATGCAAAAAATTAGCCGGGCGTGATGGAGGGCATCTGTAATCCCAGCTACTCAGGTGGCTGAGGCAGGAGAATCGCTTGAACCAAGGAGGCAGAGGTTGCAGTGAGCCGAGATCATGCCACTACACTCCAGTCTGGGTGAAAAGAGCAAAACTCCATCTCAACAAAATGAATAAATAAATAAAAAAGAAACCAACTCAAGCCAGCTTAGGAGAAAAGAGGTACATACTATAAAGACGGAGGGGATAACTCAGGAAATTCACACAGGTAGGCCTCCAGAAAGTCCTGGAAGAAGGAACTAGAGAATCTTCAGAAACCCAGGCCATTCTCAGTCTCTTCCTCCCCTCTTCCCCCACCTCTGCCTCATTCCCTGTCCGACAGCCCAGTTCTCCACTTCTCAGTCCATGTGGCTGTGCACGAAAACCCTGCAGTCCTTGGGGCTCTTGGGACTGGACACACATTTCCCATCATGCAGCTGCCTGCAGGGGCCACCTGGCCATTCCTGAGTCCCAGAGCGAGAATGTGGTTGGTCCACACGCCCTCCTCCATCCAACACCAGCAGGAAGCGGTCGTATGATGCCAGCCTGGCCGGAGCCCACTCCTGGAGGAGCACGCCTGGGCTAGAGATGGCGCAGGAGATGAGGTAAGAGAAGGTTCAGGAAAAGGGGAAGGGAAAATGTGGAAAGGAGCAAAGGGGGACAAGAGAAGCCTTTTATCTTCCTGTTCTCAGGAAGCTTGGGGTCTCCTGCACCCTCAGTTTGAAAAGCCGAAAAAACAGTGCAGGAAGAAATGGTCACACAGATGCTGAGGTGTGTGTGTCGTGGAAGCCTCTGGAATCCTCCCCTCCACATCCCTGCCTCACTCAGGAGCTACTCACAGGGGCAGGCTGTTGGACCCTCCTTATCCAGGGAGACTCTAGAGGAAAATGAACCCTGAGTGAGGACAGTCTCCACACCACAACCTTCCTTCCTGACAGCCTCTCACTACCCCCCAGACTTCACCTCCCACCATGAACACCTTCCTCTTAGCTGTCCTTCTCCAAATAGGCCTCATTAAAGAGGCCACATAGGATCTGAGCACCAAATCCACACACCATTCCCCTTAATGATATTTTCAAATCTTCCTTTCACTTCCATTTATTCCTGAACAATCAGCAGTGAAAAGGAAATAGACAAGATCTAGGAATCAACGTTCCCATTGCCTTTGTTGGGGTTCGGAAAATGACACCCCAAAATGAAGGTCTCAGAAGCAGCCTCAGACGCAAAACGCTTTCTCTTTTTACCTTCTCTTGACCTCCTGTCTCTCAGACCCATTCTCCCCAAAAGCTAGGCATAGAAACTGGAACCTCTCTTCCACAAAGCGGGTCATATAATCCAGAACCCCTTCTCCCCAAAGCCAGTCATAAATCCTGACAATCTACTCTAACTCTCCCTCTGCCTTTCTCTGTAAAAGCAGGCCATAAAGAAATTCTCTGAGCTACTGTGTTTGACTGTAAGTCATAAGACCCCCATTCAAGAGAGGGTCCTGCCCACACCCGGAAGGAAGGAACGCCACTCAGAGAGGCCAAGAAGAATCTAGAGAGACAGGCTTTGCTGGATGTCCTCACTCCGTCTATTAGCATTAGATCAGACCCTTTGCATCCAATCATACTTTTACGTGGCTGTCCATATTTTGTTGAACATAAGCATAAAAACAGACACTTCCCCCTGTATCTTGGGCTCTTCGTTCTGAAGACTCCCATGTGAACACACTGATCATACATTTGTATGTCTTTTCTCCTATTAATCTACCTCTTGCTAGTAATTTTCAATGAACCTCCAGAGGGTGAAGGGGAAGTTATTCCTTGGTCCCTACATCTCCCTCACGGGAACTCAATAGTTGGGCTCCAATTCTGTGGTCAATGCAGCCTGCACAAAGTGGGCGGTCTTCCGGCTCCAAGGATCTTCCTGGATGTTTCCAATGCTGCCCACTGGTTTCCTCAGTCAGTCACACATATGTGGTGCCTGGAAGATTCCAGACAGCAGGAATGTGTGAGGCACTGAGATACACCCATCAGCACTAGCACCAGTGTCTACTTTCATAGAACCTCAAAGACTTGCAAGGAACCCAGCCACTGAAGAAGTGATTCCACACATACAAAGTGTTGCAGTGGGAGCTAAAAATAAAAACAATGGAGATAGAGAGTAGAAGGATGGTTCCCAAAGGCTGGGAAGGGTGGGGGGTGGGGCAGGAAGTGAGGACGGTCCGTGGGGGGTGGGAAGTGGGGATGGTTAATAGGTACAAAAAATAGAAAGAATAAGACCCAGTATTTGATAGCACAACAGGGTAACTAGAGTCAAAAACAATTTAATTCTATGTTTAAAAATAACTAAAAGCAGCTGGGCACAGTGGCTCATGCCTGTAATCCCAGCATTTTGGGAGGCTGAGGCAGGCGGATCACTTGAAGTCAGGAGTTCAAGACCAGCCCGGACAACATGGTGAAACCCTTTTTCTACTAAAAATACAAAAATTGCTGGCCATGGTGGTGTATGCCTGTAATCCCAGCTACTCAGGAGGCTGAGGCATGAGAATAGCTTGAACCTGAGAGGCAGAGGTTGCAGTGAGCCAAGATCACACCACGGCACTCCAGCCTAGGTGATAGAGTGAGACTCTGTCTCAAAAATAAAAGAGAGTCATTGGATTGTTTGTAACATGAAGGATAAATGCTTGAGGGGAGATTAATATCCCATCTTCCAAGATGTGATCATTACACATTGCATGCCTGTATCAAAACATCTCATGTACCCCATAAATATATATACACCTACTATCTACCCACAAATAATTAAAAATTTTAAAAAAAGAAGAGCTACAAAAGGGAAGTCAAGGGTATGGAGAAAAAGAAGGCCTCCTGGACTAGGTGAAATGTAAAAAGCCTACATCTTAGTTTGCTTGGGCTGCAGTAACAAAATACCACAGATGGGCAGCTTCAGCAACACAAATGCATTTTCTTGCAATGATCTTGGAGGCTGCAAGTCCAAGGTCAAGGTGTCGGCAGGGCTGGTTCTTCTGAGGACTCTCTCCTTGGCTTGGAGATGCCGTCCCGTCTCTGTGTCCTCACATGGTTTCTCTCTGTGTATGTCTGTGTCCTCATCTCCTCTTGTTAGAAGGACACCAGTCCTACTAGATTCGCTTAATGACCTCATTTTAACTTCATTATCTCTTTAAAGACCCTCTCTCCAAATAGAGTCCCATTCTGAGATGCTGTGGGTTAGGACTTCACCCTATAAATTTTGGGAGGGACACAAATAGCCTATAAGGCTATTAGTTGTTGATCAGGTGACCGATCCTGAAAAGAATGTTGTATTAGTCCATTTTCATGCTGCTTTTATATACCCGAGACTGGGTAATTTATAAAGAAAAAGAGGTTTTACGGACTCACAGTTCCATGTGACTGGGGGGAACTCACAATCATGGCCAAAGATGAAAGTCACGTCTTACATGATGGCAGGCAAGACAGAATGAGAGCCAAGCAAAAGGGGAAACCTCTTATAAAACCATCTGATCTTGACTGGGCATTGTGGCTCATGCCTGTAATCCCAGCACTTTGGGAGGCTGAGGCAGGCAGATCACCTGAGGTCAGGAGTTTGAAACCAGCCTGGCCAACATGGTGAAACCCCATCTGTACTAAAAATATGAAAAGTATCCAGGCATGGTGGCGGGCGCCTGTAATTGCAGCTACTTGGGAGGCTGAGGCAGGAGAATCACTTGAACCTGGGAGGCGGAGGTTGCAGTGAGCAGAGGTCACACCATTGCACTCCAGCTTGGGCAACAAGAGTGAAACTCCATCTCAAGATAAAAAATAAAAATAAAAACAAAAACCAACAAACAAAAAAACATCCAATCTCGTGAGACTTATCCACTACCACGAAAATGGTATGGGGGAAACCACCCCCACGATTCAATTATCTCCCACCAGCTCCCTCCCACAACATGTGAGAATTATGGCAGCTACAATTCAGGATGAGATTTGGGTGGGGACACAACCAAACCATATCAAATGTTCTAGAAAGAAAAAAATAGCTGGAGAAGAGCAGACTGTGGTCGTGAAGGGTCTGGTAAAGTCTGAAATATTTCACCTGTCTTAATGGTGACTCTAAAATCATTGAAGGGTTTCCAGCAGAAGAGTGACATGAGAAACTGCATTGTAGAAAGGCCCTTCTGTTTACATGGTGGGTAAAGAGCTGGAGGGGGCATGGCGGGTGCTGCGAGACCAAGTGCTGTGGGCAGTGCAGGTGGCCGGTGACGGTGACGGGGGCCGGAGAGAGCACTGCGCACTGTGTGGTGGGAGGACTGGATGCACAAGAGGGAATCTCGGGACTAGAATCTGTTGCTGTGAGTTACTGAGTGGATGGAAGGCATGGAGGCCAGAAACAGAAAAGTTCAGGGGGGGATTTGGGAAGAAGATAGGAAACAACGATGGGGACGGAGATGCTGATTTTTGGAGATGGCAAGAGAAATGCAAAATTTGACAGACCCAAATAGAGATACCAAAATAGAGCGCTGGGGAGGAGAGGGAGACCTGGGGAGATGCTGTTTTCGGGGTGATGTTGGGACACATATGGAAACTGGAGCCCTAGCGATGGGGAGAGGAAGAAACAAGACAGAGCCCCAGGGAGCACAGGACTGAAGGGCTGAGAAGAGGAGACGTCAGGGAGGAGCCATGAGAGAGGCAGAAACCCAGAGAGTGTGGTGTCTCCGGAGGCAGGGGACGGAGAATTCCCAGAGAAGAGTGGTCACCACAGAGGTGTGGCCACGCGAGGAAGGGTGGGGAGCGCCCAAGGCATGTGTCTATACAGGGGGCACTGGTGGCCTGGGTGAAAGTCATTTCAGGGCCATGTAGGATTGAAAGCCAAACTTTTGTGGGAAGAGAAGGTAGGGAACAACCCTGGCTGGGAATGGGAGGAGAGAGGAGACATAACTGGAGAAGTTAGGAATCCTGAAGGAACTTTTATGAGAGAAAAGACATGAACATACATGAAAGACACAGAAGGCCGGGCACGGTGGAGAAAGGAGCGGGCAGCTGGGCTTCCTGGGTCGAGTAGGGGCTCAGAAAGCTGTGAAACTCACTCATTTCCTGCTTCAGGACTTCCTTCGGTCCTGGATGAATAATATTGAAGATATATGCTTAAAATATTCCTAACGCCCAGATTTGTACATGTGTTTTCTTCCCCAAGAAAGCTATAAACAGCGAAAATTTTGCTGTAAGTTTCCCTGTGTCCTTTCTCCCTCTCTCCTTTCCCTCTCCCCCAAAACTAAAGTAAAACAAACGTTAATTGCCTGTTTTTCTGTGACCAGCGGACCTTATCTCTACTCCCAATTCCAATTCCTTGTAAACATACTTTGTAAAATCCTGTGAGATCCTGACTCCTTTGCCATGCCGCTGCAAGGTCATAAAATAGATAAAACCTAAGTTGCAATTTTGATTTTCCTCAAAATCTATGGCATGTCACAAAATAATTTACTGCCTTTGTTTCTCGTTCTAGTAACGTCTTCCCGCCTCCCATATTTCCCACCGTAAAGAGCTTAAAAGGCATTTACCCAAAACCAACAATGGCTACCCATTCGGGACCCCTTCCAGGCTGTGGAAGCTTTGTACTTTCACTCTGCTCAATAAAGCCTACAGCTTTTTCTCTCTATTGGTCCATGTCTCTATCACTCGCTGCAGGCAGCCGCCACACCAATTCTTTGGCGTGGCTAAGGCAAGAACCTTTGCGTTACAGTGGTTCACGCCTGTAATCCCAGCACTTTGGGAGGCGGAGGCAGGCGGATCACTTGAGGTCAGGAGTTCGAGACCAGCCTGGACAACATGGTAAAACGCTGTGTCTACTAAAAATACAAATATTAGCTAGGCATGGTGGTGCATGCCGGTAATCCCAGCTACTCGGGAGGCTGAGGCACAAGAATCACTTAAACCCGGGAGGCAGAGGTTGTAGCAGTGAGCCGAGATTGCACCACGGCACTCCAGCCTGGACAACCGCAGAAGACTCTCTCAAAAAACAACAACAACAAACAAACAAAACAAAAAACAAAACAAAACAAAAAAGGATGCAGGAGAAGAGCACCATGGTGACAGAGCCATGGATCCTGAGGAGGTGACAGGGAACACGGGCTTCAGGGATAAGAAGGGACAGTCCTTCCCCCAACAAGAGCAACCAGAGCTCATAATTGGAGCCATGGAACCCCCTTAGGGGGTGGGTAGGGGAAATGCTTAGAGGGATATTTTATGTAGATCCTGAGTCTAGGTTGAATGAATGAATTCATAAATGAACAAATGAGTGAAAACCCAATATGTTTGGCAATAGACATCCAAATCCGGGCTGTTACTTTTTATGAGATTTGTCCTAAGACGGCCACCCATGCCCCGTGGCTACTTGGTATCTAGAATAGTAGACAGGAACCATCTATTACTTCATGGAAATAGGACATCGAGCTACCCACAGGCAAGCCAGAGTTTTCCTCCAGAACATTTTGAATTAACTGTAAGAGCTGGAGGAGTGTCATTAAAGCCACTGAGCTGTTGTCTGGACCTGGGTAATTGGAAGGAGACTGTTATGAGCAAAAACAACAGGAAGCTGCCTTAGAGCAGAGTCTCTCCCTCACTGCCTCTGGCCCTCCTAGCACCGTGTCCCCATGCCCCCAGTACCACTCTGATGTCTGACTGCAACAAGACACCCCCTCTGTGGGCACCAGGGTCCAGATTAAAGCCCATTAGAATAACTGGGCCATTGACTTTCCAATTACATCACCCCCACAGGTCCTTCTCTCTCCAGTTCCTGGACTCATTAGGGCTCAGATCATGGAACATCTCCTCCCGCTAATGGCCCATGAGAAAGTTTAGAAGGGAAAGTGACCCCTCTACTACTTCACTAAACGGAAATGAGGAGGAAAAGGCCACCGACTAAAGCCACCAAGTTTTTAGTGTTTTGAGAGAACTTTCTCCTGACCATGGGATAGCTACAGCATGAAGCCTGGACTCAGGGAGACGTGCCTATAAACAGAACAGACATTCATCCACGCATTCCAGAGACCGAAGCTCAGAGTTCCAGAATCTATCATTCCAGAAGATTCCATCATTCATTCCACTTGTAGACAAGGGCGTGTGAGACCTCTGGAGCCAGAAGAGGCTTGTAGAAGCTAGGTGGGGGTCAGGGGGCTGCTGGCCAGGAAAAGTGAAGTCTGCCAGGAGTTGCCTGGTTTATGTAGACTCATACCACAGAACCACGGGTTCTGGATGAGGTTCCCCTCTCCAGGGCCGGTGAAGAATGTTGACGGTGACTGGACTACAGTAAAAATGCAAGTTTATCAAGATGCTCCCAGCACAACCCTGTGTGCAGGGCCTGGCCCCACATATCTGCAGCCACTGGCTGTCCTCAGGGGCAGGTGTCATCCCAGCTGCCTGCAGAGATCCAGGCACAGTCAGCTCAGGAGAACGGTGGCCGAGCAGATCCTCCATCTATTCACTGGGGTCCTGCATAGAAATGCCATCTTTCTCTTGGTGAGTGTGGCGTCCCACTCTGAGGTCAGACGTGGGGACTAGCCTCTCCAGGCCTCAGAACCTCCGGCAGCTCCCTCCCCGACATGCCCACAATTCCACAGCCACGTGGTTAGCTCCACTTCACTCAACAAACCTGCACGGGCCCCTGAGGCAGCAGGCACTGAGGAAGCAGGTGAGAAATCTCCCAATCTACCCTTCCCAGAGCTCTCGGTCGGTCGCTGCATGCGACAGAGAACGGGCTGGCTGTGCCACGGGAGAAACTTCGACAGGTGGTAGGAGCCAGGTTCTGGTCCTGGTCTGCCCTCTGACAGGCTGTGGGACCTCCAGCCTCAATTTCCCACTTGCAGAATGAGGGAATTGGACTGAAGTCTCTGGATTCAAGCTGTGCCTTGAGGACGCCCTCTCCCTCCCCCCAGGATTCGAAGACGGGCCTACGTGCCTGAGGGTGGCAGAGTGGACCTGGTTTCACGCATGCTCAGAGCCCAAACTGCCCCTGCAGGCAACAGCCAAGATCCATGAGTCAATGCCATGGCAGGCAGGGGATTGAGTCTACCAAGCAGCTGCACGTGTCTCTGTGTTACAGACAGAGTTTCAAGAAGGACCTGCAGCTCTGGAAGGCTTGCCAACTGTGATTGGACTGGATGCTCTCTGGTCCTGCTGGCTACGGGAGGCTGGAGGCCCCTGTCTGCTCATTGCACCCCGACTTGATGGCCACAGAGCCAGGGAGCCTCATGGGCCACCTCTGACCCGCTGGCCTGGAGGGAGCTTCCTGACTTCACAGTATTGAGACAATTCCAAGATGCTGAAAGGCATCCTGTTAAAATTAGGAGAGACCTCAGGGATATCTAATTTGGACAGCACCCCCTGCCCAAAGTCACACGGCCAGGCTGAGCAGGGCCAGTCCTGACCCCTGACGCCCAGCCGGGCCCACACCATGAGTGTGTGGCTCAGCCCTGCAGCCCCACTTGCTCTGACCCCTTCATGAGTCATTCTTCCCTGAGCTGGATAAGGACAAATGGGCAGGGAGGCCCGCAGCATCCCCTAGTCCTGCCCACCAGCAGCTGTCCCCCAGGGCTCCTGGTCCCCAGCAGTGGGGATATGGCCAGGAGCTCCCGAAACCTGTGTCAGCACGGCCTGGGGTTCTGTTCTGGGCCTCCACACTGAGACAGCTTTGGGTAGCGTGCTGTCTGCAGATGCCCCTCCGAAAACTGATCTGAAAAAGCAAATTCAATGAAAACAGTATCCAACGGAGGCTGTGGAGGGAGTTTAACAGGCGCAATGCAATCACGCAGGTTGGAATGAATCCAAGACTTCGATGCTCCCAGGGAGGCCGCTTGAGTTCAGCAGCAGTTGTATAAAATGACACCCGAGATGGCCCAGCTTCCCAAAATCAGAGCAGAAAGGGGATTCCGAAAGTGGCATGTGACCGCGTCCCTGGCTCCTGGGCCTTCTCACTTCATGCTCCCCACCTGAGCTCTCTCCATGGGCTGTACCTTCTCTGCAGGTTCCCAGGGCAAGATGTACGCAGTCATCTGTTTCACCACCCGAGCCTGGCCCCTGCCAGCAGCCAGCACAGAGGCACTCATCTTCTGAGACCCCAGAGTAGCATGTGAGGGACCCAGAAAATGCCCCGATGGGAAGGGCCTTTGGGATCATTTTGATCCAAGGTCCTCAATGCACTTGACTTTGAGAAAGGGAGTCAGAAGCCACAGCGCAGGGGACCATAGAAACAGCTAAGGGTCTCGATTCTGGCTGAGCCTCTCCCTGACCATGTGGGATGGGGGCAAGCTTCAGACCTCATCGGGGCAGGCTTTCCACAGTGTCTATCCCTGGCTGTCCTCACCTGCCAGAGGAAAGAGGGTCGTAATCCACAGGCCTCCTGTGTGGAGGACTCTCGGCTCCTGCATGGACCCTGCCCTGGGAGCACACTCAGCACCGGGGACAAGGGACTAACCACAACCCACTGAAATGCAAGCCAGACTGCACAGAACAGGAGGCCTAAGCCAGGTGCCTGGGGAGCCCAGAGGAAGAAATGACTGCCTCTGCCTGGGAGGGATCTGGGAGGATTCACAGAGTGGATGACATTGGAGCTGGGAGTACTGAACAGATCATTAAGAGTTGGCAGGCAATCTTCCCAGCTGGGCTGAGAACATTTCTCAGCTCCCCAAAGGCAGAGGAGCTTGTCTGCAGTCAGGACCTAGCTCCGTGGGAACCTGAGCCATGCCAGGCCACACTCTTGGCAGAGCCCTGATGGGCGGATGTCGAGGGCTTGGACTCAACAGTGCCTCATCCTCGACTTCATGCCCTGGATCCAGCTCTGCTTCATTAATCTTTCCCTTCTAGAAATGCTTCCTCATGCACTACTTTTCCAACCTCACTGCAGCAACATGACCTCTCCACTTGATGCGCTTGTTAAAACATACACAGAAATAGAAAAAAGAACCCAATGAACTTCTATCACCTAAAGTCAACAATTTTCAACACATGGCCACCCTTGTTTCATCCATATCTCCCTTTCATTTCCCCAACCCCAGACACCATATCGTTTCATCCATAAATATTTATAAATGCATCTGGAAAAAGATCAGAGTTTTCTTAATACATATCCACAATACCATTATCATCCCTTTAAAAATGATATCCATCTCTTGCTGGGTGCGGTGGCTCACACCTGTAATCCCAACACTTTGCAAGGCCGAGGCAGGCGGATCACTTGAGGTCAAGAGTTCAAGACCAGCCTGGCCAACATGGTGAAACCCTGTGTCTACTAAAAATACAAAAGTTAGCTGGGCGTGGTGGTGCATGCCTATAGTCCCAGCCACTCGGGAGGCTGAGGCAGGAGAATCACTTGAGCCCGGGAAGTGGAGGTTGAAGTGAGCTGAGATCATGCCACTGCACTCCAGTCTGGGCAACAGAGGGAGACTCTGTCTCAAAAATAAATAATAATGGTATCCATTTCTGAATATTATCAAGTATCCAGTCAATGATCCTGTAGTCTGGCCTTTGCTGATGTCATCCCCAAGATGTCATTTAATATGTTCCTTGGTCCCTTGAATTTCTGGTAAGTTGATGTGTAACCCTAGAGACTTCATCTGATTCAGGCATGATTCTTTTTGTCGAGGAACTTCAAAGGTGGTGATGTTTCTTCCGCTGGGTGGTGCATAGTATTTGATCAGCTCTTGTGTTATCAGTAGACATCGATGATCATCGCCCAGATCCATTCATTCATTCGAGGTTGTCAAATGGTGTTGATCTAACCCTACAATTCCTTCCTCATTTATTAGCTAGAGTGCTTCTAAAAAGACAGACACTTGGAGATACGGAATATTTATTCCATAATCGAAAAAGCAGAAGGAATGTTTGATTCTTTCTCTTCTTATACCAGTTCCCCAAATACTGAATGGTTTTCCCAGCATCTTCCAAAAGTGGTCGACGTGGGTATCATTTTTAGTGCCATTATCAAGGTTTGAATTTCAACATATCTGATGCGTTTTAATCCATTGTAACCAATCCCTTGCAGCTACAGTCCTCACTGGTGCTTGAATCACCTCATCTTTGGCCAGTAGGAACTATTTTGGCTCCAGCGTCCACTTCGGTAGGCTCTTTGCTTTTCTGGTGTGATGAGATGCTCCAGGCCTCTCTTGCACATTCATCTCGTTCTTGTTTATTTCAACAGCAGGTCCCCTGACCCCAGCCTCCAAGCTCTCTGCGTCCTTGCTGCAGCTAGATTAATCTTTCTCTAAATTAAATTTTAGCTCTGTTTCTCTTCTCGGGAGGGAAAGAACACGCATGAGCTTCAGAACTGGGAGAGCTGAGTTTGAAAACTGGCTAAATCCATGACAACTTATGTAACCCTGGCCACTTACATCACCTTTCTCAGCCTCAGTTACCTCATGTGTAAAAATAGGAGTAATGATATCTCACCTTACAGCACTGTGGGAAAGATGAAACAAATCCTCTTTTCTCCCATCCAGTAAAGTCCTCTCTGGGCACACACACTCTGTTGCAGCCATTTTCATAAATGCCTATTAAAGCATCCAGCTTAGAAACTAACAAACAGTAAGAGCATGGCAGGAGGCGGCATTCCTTTTCTTCCTTCTCTTTCCAAGAAACATCAGTGGCTCCTAAAGTCCATCCCATCACCCAAACATTTGGGCCCCCTTTGGTCTGGCCCCACCTTACCCACCTAGTCTGGACTGTCCTCCTATGCATCTTCCACCCCAGCCCAGCCAGCCTGCTCTCACCCGAGTTACGAACTTCCTCATCAACCATCACTTCCACAGCCCCCTTTATCTTAAAAGCCTCACGCTTCTTCTGCTTATTCCAATCCTACCTAAGACCCAGCTCAAATCCTTCCATTTCCCTGACCTCTTCAGACCTCATCTTCTTCCCATCCCATAAAAACCTGCCCGGGCACCCATACTTTGTTACAGCCATTTTCATGAACAACCACTCACCTGGGGAGAAGACACTTCAGGAACTGCTCTTTCAGAAGCTGCAATGGTCAGCAAACAGACCCTGGGCATGACAGTGCATGACAGTGGCTGTGGCAGAGCTGGCTTTAGGGTGTGTTTACGTGTGCGTACCTGGTGCACACACTCACACGTCTTTATATTTGTCTGTGTGTGTATGTGTATCTGTGGGTGCACGTGTACATGGGTGTGCATGCATGTGCTTGTGCGTATAGGGATCATACAGGTATGTAAGTGTGCACGTATGTGTCCGTGTGTGCATACTGGCATCTGTGCACGTGTGCACAAGCATTTGTGCATTCTTGCACATATATGTGTATGTGTGTGCATAGTCATATATGTGTGACTGTGTGTGCATGCACATGTGTGCATGTGTGCACACATGACCAACACCCTGCAGGAGGCCAGTCTCCCAGCCTGTCCTCTCTTAGAATCACTCAGCGTTCCTGAGGCTGTGCCCCTCCCTGAGACTTCAGCCACAACATGGGAGGACGACGACCCTAATCTTTGCAGAGATCCCATGACAGTCTCCCTGGGGCTCTCGGTTTTCTAAACCAGATGTGGCCCCCATCTGGAACAAAGAGAAAGCCATTAAATGACTAGAGAAAGCTTCCCCACCCAGATGTGGCAGTCAGGCCAGCAACCAAAGCTGAACTCAATGCAGAACTTCACGGTCAAAGAACCAGCCCACGGGCAGCAACGAGGTTAAACCCTCAGCAGGGATGGCCTCTGCTCCCCAGAAAAGGACAGCTCCGCCCAGCCACAGGGCCACCACAAAACCCAGAAAGGCAACTGATGCGCGAGGCCCACCCACGGCCCTCCCTGGCTCCCCGGGGCCTGTCTCCAGGCTGAGTCCACAGGCAGTTCCTGGTGACTGCTGTGCAGAAGGGAAAACGAACTCCCTTTCAAACAAAGCCCAACTGTGGGCTCTCATGGGAAGTGACAAAATTGAGCTTCAGGGTGGGTGATCTTTTGTTTTGGGGAAAAATGGGCTTTCTTGGGCTTTTGATAGGCTTTCTTGGGTCTTTTGGGTTTAAAAGACTTGCCTGCCCCTCCCTGCAAAGGCCTCACCCAGATAAAAGGGATTCAGTCAAAGCAGGATTGAAAGGCTCTGTGTAAAGAACTGCAATTCAAGCAGCAAGACTTGGATCTTTCCCTGGAGGACTGGGAGGCAGGGTGCTGGAATTAAGAAAAGGAATCAGGACGGCACCCCCAAGAAGAGGGGCTCCTGAGGACATGGACGGCTGCATTTCCAGTTGTCACCATCAGCAGGGCGATGAATCCGCCTCTGAAGTCAGCAGGAAGAGGCCCTGGGCTGGTGTGCTTCAGGGGACAAAGAAGTGGGCCACATCCCAGGGCTCTGGCCACACAGGAACTGAGGCGGGAGGAGCCTCAGAAAAGGAGGCTGCTGCAGCGTGGATTGTGGAAGGGTGGGGAGCGGACCCCCTGTTATTCTAGAGGAAAGCACCTCAGAATGCCTGGGGAGGGGCTGTGCTCTCTCTCCAGCTGAGTGTAAATGGGGTCTCAGGTTGCTTTACAGGATGTTAAAGGAACAGACACCCTCCCTACAAAATGTATATTCGACTTGGGAACATACTGATGACAAAGATTCTCTGCTTGGCTAAACTGTAATCAGGCTCCTGAACCTTCTCCGAGGCTCATCTGTACACCTCCTTATAAAATCCAGTTTCAGAAAGAACCCCCCACCCCAGACATCTGATCACCCTTGAGATCTGATCAGGGTCCTTCCTCATCCTCCACCACCCCCTAGGTGATGTGTGATCACCCTGGCCTGCTTTTGGCAAGAGCCCTGCAAGAGCTAAGTGTCCATCAACAGATGAACAGATGGAGAAACTGTGGTACCTATACACAATGGAGTACTACTCAGCCATGAAAAAGAATGAGATCCTGTAGTTTGCCACAAGGTGCGTGGAACTGGAGGTCAACATGTTAGGTGAATTAAGCCAAGCACAGAAAGACAAACATTATATGTGCTCGCTTATTTGTGGGATCTAAAAATCAAAACAGTTGAATTCAAGGAGATAGAGAGTAGAAGGATGGTTACCACAGGCTGGAAAGTGTAGTAAGGGGGTGCATGGCGAGATAAGGATGGTTAATAGCTACAAAAAAAATAGTAGAATGAATAAGGTCTAGTATTTAATAGCACAACAGGGCAATTATCGTCAATAATAATTGTACATTTAAAAATAAAGCATCACTGGATTGTTTATAACACAAAGGATAAATGCTTGAAGGGATACATACCCCATTGTTCTTGATGTCATTATTATGCATTGCATGCCTGTATCAAAACTTCTCATGTACCCCATAAATCTTGTAGGTACACCTACTAAGTACCCACAAAAATCAAATTAAAAAAAGAATCCTGCTAGGTGGGTTTGGCCAGAATCCCCCTTCCCTCTGATGTTCCTCTTAGTAATTCTCCATCCACCGACGCCCACTCCCCTTACGCTGCTCTGTGACTATAAACGCCACTGGCCCAGGCTGCATTCAGAGGTGAGCCCGATCTCTCTGCCCCATGGCACAACCCCACTGCTGCAGTCTCCATGTCTGTCACCACATCCTGAATGACGGCTTCCTTCCTGTGCTTTACTGAATGTCACTGAATCATTTTTTTCTTTAACACTAGGGCAGACAATTGGGGTGCAGGTGTTTACTGATTAAAGGAAGTGGCTGCTGGGGAAGGGGCTCTTTCCAACCGGCTGACGCGTGGCTCAGCACTGATCTTCAATAATGGGTCAACCACGCCCGGGGCTTGGTGGGGCTGAGAGCAGGAGGAGGTTCCCAGCAAGGATGCAAGCTAGAAGAAAACCTAGGCATTACCATTCAGGACATAGGCATGGGCAAGGACTTCATGTCTAAAACACCAAAAGCAATGGCAACAAAAGACAAAATTGACAAATGGGATCTAATTAAACTAAAGAGCTTCTGCACAGCAAAAGAAACTACCATCAGAGTGAACAGGCAACCTACAACATGGGAGAAAATTTTCACAACCTGCTCACCTGACAAAGGGCTAATATCCAGAATCTACAATGAACTCAAACAAATGTACAAGAAAAAAACAAACAACCCCATCAAAAAGTGGGCGAACGACATGAACAGACACTTCTCAAAAGAAGACATTTATGCAGCCAAAAAACACATGAAAAAATGCTCACCATCACTGGCCATCAGGGAAATGCAAATCAAAACCACAGTGAGATACCATCTCACACCAGTTAGAATGGCAATCATTAAAAAGTCAGGAAACAACAGGTGCTGGAGAGGATGTGGAGAAATAGGAATACTTTTACACTGTTGGTGGGACTGTCAACTAGTTCAACCATTGTGGAAGTCAGTGTGGCGATTCCTCAGGGATCTAGAACTAGAAATACCATTTGACCCAGCCATCCCATTACTGGGTATATACCCAAATGACTATAAATCATGCTGCTATAAAGACACATGCACACATATGTTTATTGCAGCATTATTCACAATAGCAAAGATTTGGAACCAACCCAAATGTCCAACAATGATAGACTGGATTAAGAAAATGTGGCACATATACACCATGGAATACTATGCAGCCATAAAAAATGATGAGTTCATGTCCTTTGTAGGGACATGGATGAAATTGGAAATCATCATTCTCAGTAAACTATTGCAAGAACAAAAAACCAAACACCGCATGTTCTCACTCATAGGTGGGAATTGAACAATGAGAACGCATGGACACAGGAAGGGGAACATCACACTCTGGGGATTGTTGTGGGGTGGGGGGAGGGGGGAGGGATAGCATTGGGAGATATACCTAATGCTAGATGACGAGTTAGTGGGTGCAGCGCACCAGCATGGCATATGTATACGTATGTAACTAACCTGCACGTTGTGCACATGTACCCTAAAACTTAAAGTATAATAATAATAATAAAAAGAAGGAAAAAAAAAAAAAAGAAACACGAGTCAGCGCCTGATAACACTAACTACTGCGCAGCCCCAGGTCAAATGCTAATGCCGGCCCCTGCTCCATCACAGGCTCCTGACAGCACCAGCACTCCCCCAGGTGCCAGCCCTGCCACTCCAGAGACCCCCGCACCCAGTCCCTCATGGCCCTGAGGCTCAGTTTCCCCACTGGTACCAGGGAGTCTTGTCCTCGCCCCACCCTCCAGGGAACAGATCTGACTGTGACAGACGCTGGTACACGTGCCGTGAAAACACACGACAGCTGCCTTGATTCCTAACATATAAATACAACGGGCTTTGTGCTTCTCGCCAGAGCAAGTGACATAGGCAGGCTCACCTCCCACAGCACGCCCTACCAGGCATCTCAGCCGGGGCACCTGAGCCACCGCAAAGAGGCAGGTGCCACCCGAGCCAGGCCTCCCAGGAGGCTCTGACTGCAGAATTCTTAAAGCATTCCTCCCTACCGAGTGCCGTGGAAATCCAGGCTCAGAACAGCCAGCTGAGGTTGCTTCCGCTGGAGTCCCAGGAGACTCTTTAACCTCAGCTTGCTGGTTTACTCCAATTATTTTTAAATGAGCCAAAGGCCGAGATCCTCTCCAGTGTTCTCAGGAAGGCTGCCATTGTCCATAGGAACAGAGCTTACTGAGTTATCACATCCAGACCCTGCATCCACACCAAGGCACACTCAGAGGACCCCAGAAAACATCACTGGACCAGGGCAGGCCAGTGACAAGGGCAGGCCAGTGAGGTGTTCCGGGTACAAACATGAGGGGCTACGCAAGACTCAAGCTAGTCTGGGGGTCTCCTAAGATCGTGCACCTGGACTCCTGACCTGACTCACCTAGACCCAGCCCCGCTGGGAAATAATCCTTTCCTTTTCTTATTTTTTGGGGACAGGGTCTGGAGTGCAGTGGTGCAAACATAGCTCGCTGCAGCCTCAATCTCCCAGGCTCAAGCAATCCTCCTTCCTCAGCCTCCCCAGTAGCTGGGACTACAGGTGGCCCCACTATGCCTGGCTGTTTTTTCATTTTCTGTAGATATAGGGTCTCACTATGCTGTCCAGGCTATTAATCCTTTCTTGTGTTGGATAATTTGTAGGTTCTGGGAGTCTTCCCTAACATTCATCCTAAATTCTTCTGCTTCAAACTGAACAAAGTTTGCAGTTCACATTGAAAGAGAGACAGAGAAAAGAGACAGAGAATGACAGAGATACAGAGAGACACTCCTGAACCCCCTGTGAGACACCCTGTGTATCATGCTTAGGTAGCTCTCTCCTCAATCTTACCTTCACTCCTTATTCTTCACAGCCTCGCCTCTCCAGATCCACTAGCAGGGTTCGCTCCAGGAGACTTCATGCCAGCATCTCCCTCCATCCTGAAGGGTTTCATTGTCCTTAGTACTATTTCATTCTGTGCGTCCCTCCACTCATTCTGTGCCTAGTGGCTGCAAAGCTCTGAATGGGGCACTGAGGACAGCAGGGTCATGGCAGACAGTGTCCGCCCCATGACCTTCATGAGCCCTTCCTCCAAAAAGAATGAAAATATTTCATGACTGTGTTGGTATAAAGACAAAGGTATACATATTATTATTTTTGAGATGGAGTCTCACTCTCTTGCCCAGGCTGGAGTGCACTGCCTCCCAGGTTCAAGCAAGTCTCCTGCCTCAGCCTCCCAAGTAGCTGGGATGACAGACACCTGCAGCCACACCAGGCTAATTTTTGTATTTTTGGTAGAGACAGGGTTTCGCCATGTTGGCCAGGCTGGTCTCAAACTCCTGACTTCAGGTGATCCACCCACCCTGGCCTCCCAAAGTACTGGGATTACAGGCATGATCCACTGCACCCAGCCTAAGACAAATGTATAAATATTAGCTATGACATTTTCTTCAACCTAAGAGTTCATTCTTTTCTTCTGATTTAAAAAAAAATGAAGATTAAAATATTTCTGTGAGCCCTTCCAAGTATCAGGGCTCCTAGGTACTGTGCCGTGGCAAAGGCAGCTGGCCTTGAGGAGGCCATGATCTCGGCCCTGACTGCACATTATGAGGTCCTGGGGGCTTTTAAAACCCCTATAACCCAAGTGGCACTCAAATCATGACATCAGAACCTCAGGGGATGGGACCCAAATGTCAGTAATTTTTAAAGCTCTTCAGTTGAGTCAAGTGTGTGGTCAAGGTCAAGAATCAACGGTCAGATGATGCCACCCTGGAAAGAGACAAAGGGATTGGGGGGCGTGGCCTGTGTGGGATGGGGGCAGTCAATGAAGAGCCAGCAGGCCTGGTGCAAAAGCCCTCCCAGGGCGGACTGGGGTGTGTTTCTCCCTCTGGGCCAGGATCCTTAGCCATCACTGGGGTTTGCAGGCATTTTATCACCCACTCCAACTTCCAAATTAAGTGTAAGCCGCTAGACTAGAGACATCCCCACAGCAGCACGGACCCTTAGAGGACATATGTTGTCTCTTTAAAAATTACACCACATTACACATAGAATTTACCATCAGAACCATTTTTAAGCATATAGTTCAGTGGTGGTATAGTTTGGCTAAGTCCCCACTCAAATCTCACCTTGAATTGTGATAATCCCCATGTGTCAAGGGCAGGGCCAGGTGGAGATAATCAAATCATGGGGGAGGTTTCCCCTGTACTGTTCTCATGGTAGTAAGTCTCAGGAGATCTGATGGTTTTACAAATGGAAGTTCCCCTGCACATGTCCTCTTGCCTGCCACCGTGTAAAACATCCCTTTGCTCTTCCTTCGCCTTCCACCATGACTGTGAGGCCTCCCCGGCCATGTGGAACTGTGAGTCCATTAAACCTCTTTCCTTTATAAATTACCCAGTCTTGGATATGTCTTTATTAGCAGCATAAGAACAGACTAATACAAGGGGCATGAAGCATATTCACCTTGTTATGCAACCATCATTGCCATCCACCTCCAGAACTGTTTCATCTTCTCAAATCGAAACTCTTGCACGCATTAAACAACTCCTCATCCCCTCTCCTTCCAGCCCTCAGCACGCACTATTCTACTTTCTGTCTCTATGATGTTTGACTACTCCAGGGGAGGACTCCTGTAAGTAGAATTATACAGTATTTATCCTTTTATGTCTGGCTTATTTCACTTAGCGTAATGTCTTCAAGGTGCATGTATGTTGTAGCATGGGTAGAATTTCCTTCCTTTTTAAGGCTGAATAATATCCCATTGCATGGATAGACCATGTTTTGTTTCACCACGAGTCTTGGTCTTTTTATCCACTGCCATATTGCAGCACCTAGAATGGTGCCAGCACACAGCAGGTGTCCAAGCACGGGCTAAAGGAATGATAGAAATGGAATAATCCATGTGAAAAGCATCTTTTGGGCACACAGTGAGCCTTCCAGTCATATTAGCCTTTGCTGTGATCAGCCACCTTCATTCCACTCATCATGTAAATGGGTTCACACACAGAGGGTGGGTCTCAGCATTGCCAGGAAGCCACTGCACTTCCTCTGGGCCACGCTGCTGTGCACACAGAGTGGGGCAGGAGAAGTGACAGGGTGGAATTGAATGTCACTGGTGCTTTTGAGCTTGGACCTGGAAGTTCTACCAGCTTCTCCCAGAGGAGCTGCTTCTTGGAGCCAGGCTGGTCCCTCTCACTTTAGTGACCTCTTTCTGAAGACCCACTGCCCTCAGCCACCCTTGGCCTCACTCGAGGACCCTCTACTTTCCTCACAGATGAACCAACCCTTCCAAGAAGGGCAGGTGCAACAGGAACCACGCCATGGGTGCATCATGAACTACATGAGAAGGATGCAGTGTAGGGGTCAAAGGATGGCCCTTGGCCCTCCCTTTATTTATTTTTATTATTTTAGAGACAGGGTCTTGTTCTGTCACCTGGGCTGGAGGACAGTGGCATGATCATAGCTTACTGAAGCCTCAAACCCCTGGGTTCAAATGATCATCCCAGCTTAGCCTCTGGAGTAGCTGGGACTACAGGCACTCAGCACCACACCCAACTAATTTCTACATGTTTTGTAGAGATGGGATCTTGCTATGTTGCCTAGGCTGGTCTCAAACTCCTATCCTCAAGCAATCTGCCCACCTAAACCTCTCAGAGTGCTGGGATTACAGGTGTGAGCCACCGTGGCTGAGCTATGTTTTAAATATTTTGTAGAGATTGGGTTTTGCTATCTTACCTAGGCTAGTCTTGAACTCCTGTCCTCAAGCAATCTGCCTACCTCAGCCTCCCAGAGTGCTGAGATTACAGATGTGAGCCACCACACCTGGCCTTGTTTTTAAATTGTTTATAGAGATGAGTTCTTGCTATGTTGCCCAGGCTGGTCTAGAATTCCTGTCCTCAACCAACCCTCCTGTCTCCGCCTTTGTTCCTCCCTTTCTACACCTGCAGAAAGCCTGGATTTTATATAGGTCATTTTTCATGACAGGGAGCAAGAAGCCATTTCCAATTCCTTTTTGAACAAATCCCAGGATATTAAGCTTCTCTGTCCCAAAGATGGTCAGCAGGCAGCCTGTCTTCCTTGTCACACTGTCATGATGTAGAGCCAGGCGCCAAGACAGTGCCAGCATCGAAGGCCGTGGCTCCAGCACACAGTGACACTGCGGGCTGGTGAGGTCTCTCGTGGGAGGCTGCTGCCAGGGAGCACAGGAAAGAGGATGTTATGTCTTTCCACAGAAAACTCCAGAACCTTTAACCCCCTGCCAGAGCCTCATGGCCCAGAGATTGACAGGGGCTGCTCTGTCTTCTGTTGTCAGAGTTGGACAGCTCAGCACGGCAACCTTTTGACACGAAGTAATAATTGTCAGAAGAGGGTGAGGGCTTTACCCGCTGAGAAAACGTGAGAGTGCCCCGAAGAGGAAAGTAGGCTCTGCCCATTAGCGGGTCAGGGAACCCTCCCCAGCTGACATTTGCGTCGTTGCCGCCTCATCAAGAAACTTGACGTTGGTGACAACCCCTGTGCAGTCACCTTGATGGGTGGGGAGGTGATGTGCCTAGCTCTCCTGCAGAGAGGCACTTGGCAGATGATTTTAAATGCCACCATCATCATAACAGCAATAATAATAATAATAAAAGGCACTTCACGGTTATTTTTGTCTTAATACAAAAGAAACAAAGACTCATAGAAATGGAGACAAATGCAAATCACACAGATGGGATAAACGGTAGATAATTTCAGAGAGCCGCTACCGCTGTGATGTAGAATTTTCCAGTCTTTGTCAATGCATACATATGCATGTGTGTATACCTGTGTACATGCATGCAGTGATGTTTTCATGAGAAAACACTTTGTTTATAACAGAAGGCAATCACCAATATAAGAAAAGATGCTACAAGATCACAAGCATTTTAATATTTAAATTTTTAAAAGGTTATTTATAAACGTCTTTCATACCTTTCTCTAGCAGCATTTTCTAAACTGTGTTCCACAAGACAAACTAATTAAAACAAAAGCTGAGAAATGCTGCAGACCATAGAGAGATTCTCAGTGCATGTAAACACAGTGCATGCAAAGTCCAGCAGAAAATAAACCCCTTAGACATTGGTTCCCCAGCACTGGAGACCAGGGACCCTTGTTTTCACCACAGATAGATGCGTGCTAAAATGCATAAAATACAGGAAATTGTATTTTCTCATGCCCTTTTCTTAAGCCAGGATACAAATCCTTCCTAGTTCTCCCGAGCGTGAGGAGAGGCCAACCCATTGTCCCTGGGGAATTTTGAAAGCAAGGAGAGGGAAGGTGGCCAATTAGTATTTATGGGTTGCAATTTTAGGTAACTACACACATTCCTCCTAACTCTTCCTGGATAAGGGATGAGGCAGATGACAAGAAAGGAGTGAAAATCATCAGTTCTTAATACATAAAGTGACTATCCCTCGAGACCTGTCTCTCACCAAGTAAAGAGGAAAAATAGAAGGAGGTAAAAGGCAGGGAGAGAGGAGAACACATTCAGGAATCTATTTTTTTTTTTAACAAAGAGCTTTACTCTTTTTTATAAAATGATATCATCATGACAACCAAGGTAATGTGATGCAAATTCTAGGTTTTCATGGATTGGGAGACAATATTGTTAAAATTTCCATGCAACCCAAAGCAATCTACCAATTCAATGCAATCCCCATCAAGATCCCAATGTCACTTTTTACAGAAATAGAAAAACAATCCTAAAATGTATATGAAACCACAGAAGACTGAGGATAGCCAAAATTATCTTGAGAAAAAAAAATGAAGCTGGAGGCATCACACTTCCAGATTTCAAAATATATTACAAACTACAGTAATCAAAACAGCATGACACTGGCATACAGACAGACATACTGACCCACTGAAATAAAATAGCCCAGAAATAAACCCATGCATACACAGTCAACTGATCTTCAACAGGGTGCCAGGAGTACACAATGGGGAAAGGACAGTCTCTTCAACACTACACGTGAGAAAACTGGATATCCGCATGCAAAAGAATGACACTGGATCCCTATCTTTCAACATACACAAAACCAACTCAAAATCAATTAAAGATTTAAATGTAAGATAGAAGAAAAGATAAGGGGACAACCTCTTGACACTGGTCTTGGCAATAATTTCTTGTATAAGACAACAAAAGGACAGGCAACAAAGGCAAAAAAAAAAATTGACAAGTAGAACTACATCAGGCCAGGTACGGTGGCTCACACCTGTATTCCCAGCACTTTGGGAGGCCAAGGCAGGTGGATCACTTGAGGTCAGGAGTTCGAGACCAGCCTGGCCAACATGGCAAAACCCCACCTCTATTAAAAATACAAAAATTAGTCAGGCATGGTGGTGGGTGCCTGTAATCCCAGCTACTTGGGAGGCTGAGGTAGGAGAATTACTTGAGCCCAGGAGGCAGAGGTTGTAGTGAGCTGAGATTGCACCATTGCACTCCAGCCTGAGTGACAAAGCAAGACTCTGCCTCAAAAAAACAAAAACAAAACAAAACAAAACAAAAACAAACTACATCAAACTAGAAAATACAATCAAAGGAAACAACAGAATGAAAAAGTAACCTATGGAATGGGAAAAAATATTCACAAGCCATACATCTGATAAGGAGTTGATATCTAAAATACATGAGAAACTCCAACTCAATGGAAAAAAAACAAAAATTAAAAAATTAAAAACCCAAATAACTTGATTTAAAAATTGGGAAAGGACTCGAACAGACATTTCTGCAAAGAAAATATACAATGGCCACCAGGTATACGAAAATGGGTTCAACGTCACCAATCATCAGGGAAATACAAATTGTCTTCTAAAACATAATTTTTAATTATTTCATAGTATTCTATCTGGTGGATGAATACTGCAATTTTTTTTTTAACCCAGTGTGCCAGTTATCAATGTATTGCCTGTTGGCTCCAAATTCATCCTTCAGTATCTGCTCTGCAAGAATTGGATGGATGAAGCATTTCTCCTTTAGAGTGAGTGCAATGTTAAATTTTGTCAGTAGAGGGTGAGAGAACATTGCAAGGAGAGGGAGACTCCTAATCCTCATTTCAGTGTGCTGGGTTTTGCTTTTTTTCCCCTCCTCCAGTTGCATTGCTGGTCAGTGGTGTATATGTGTTTTGAGCAGCTGGGGAACATCCAGTGGCACCCTGCCCTAGCACAAGGAGCCTCAGAGCCCTGGCCCCACCTGGTGACCCCTAGGCTCCAGACCCCTCAATGCAGACACTGTTGAGCTCCAGGACTCACGCTGACAGCAGTGCCCTGACCCCTCTGGAAGCCTCCCCATTGCTCCTGCTCACCTTTGTCCTGGAGTGCTCTTCCTGCTGCCCAGTAACATGAACCAGCTCTAACCAGGTTAACGCAGTGGACTTCTGTGCCATCCAGTGATCTTCAACCACAACTTCTTCCATGCCTGCCCCCTCTCCAAGCCTGCCATCCATTGGGTACTCTCTCTTCAGCCCTAGGAGACCTGTTAGAGTTCTCCTTCCATCTTTGTGTTCACTCTTCTATCACTGCATAATAGTTATTTATGTTTGTCTTCCCTTGTTCTAACTATAATATGATATCAGTCTCCTGATTGGACCCAGACTGAAACATCTAGAGAGAGTTGTAAGCATTATTGCAAGTGTTTTAACTTGCAGTTGTGCATAAGGAAAGGCTAGAGTGAAGTATGTACTCACTGAAACAGCAAATATTTAGCAAGCAGCTCAAATAGGGTGATTAGGTCACAGAGATAGGCAATCCAATAACAGTAATGGTAATATTTACTAAACACCTGTTATGAGTACTTTTTTTTTTTTTTTTTTTTTAAGACCAAGTCTCGCTCTGTTGCCCAGGCTGGAGTGCAGTGGTGTGATCTCAGCTCACTGCAACCTCTGCCTCCTGGCTTCAAGTGATCCTCCTGCCTCAGCCTCCTGAGTAGCTGGGATTACAGATGCCTTGCTATGAGTACTCACTCATTTAATCGTCATGACAGTCTCAAGAGCAGGAGCTATCATAGCCTTCACTTGGTAGAGGAGTACCTGAGGCAAAGAGTGAGTCCCCAGGGTCCCACAGGAGGTGAGAGACGGTGTCTTGCAGAATTTACCCCTGGGCTGTGCATCTCTTCCTGCTGCCTCCCTGAGATGGGACAAGCATTTCATGTATTCTCCCAAACCATTTCCAAACATGATTGCCAAGATGTTTCTCCACCAGTGATTATTGGAATTCTCTTATAACAGATACAGAGAAAAAGGAGGATTCAGAGGGGAGAAAATGATGGCCTCAGAGAATTCAGAAACAGGACCTAACGGATGATCTTATGGTGCAGAGCTGCCTGTGTCCCTGAACTCCCTCTGGACTGGCAGCCTATCCAGTGCCAACTCCAGCAGGGAAAATCAATTGAATATGGGTTGAGGCGGGCAGGGAACTCACCACTCAGTTATAGGCTGCCAGACCATGGGGACCCTGACGGGAAAGATGGCACAACACTCGGAAATCCTGGGCACTAGGCTGGATGAGTAACCGGGTGGGCCTTGAGGCTGTGCCCTGTGGAGAGTGGGGAGTGGGGAGTGTGATCTCTGTGTGGGAAGAAACATTTGCCTGGATAATTGGGTGGCCAAGGGGACCAACTGAGCCAGAGGCTGCTAATGATCACACAGGATCTATTCTCTATTCTCATCTTACCACTTTTAGTAATAAGACCTCTTCCCACCAAGTTTCAGCTGGGCACACTTCTGGACTCCCTTGCAATTCATGTCCCTTGCAATTCTATGCCGCTATGTGATAAAGTGTTGGCCAGTGGGATATAAGCAGAAGAATGTGTGCAACTTCCAGATCATGTTTTACTTTTTTTTTTTTTTTTGAGACAGAGTCTCACTCTGTCACCTAGACTGGAGTGCAATGGTGTAATCTCAGCTCACTGCAACCTCTGCCTCACGGGTTCAAGCGATTCTCCTGCCTCAGCCTCCTGAGTAGCTGGGATTACAGGCATGTGCCACCACATCCAGCTAATTTTGTATTTTTAGTAGAGACGGGGTTTCACCATGTTGGCCAGGCTGGTCTCGAACTCCTGACCTCGTGGTCCGCCTGCCTTGGCCTCCCAAAGTGCTGGGATTACAGGCGTGAGCCACCATGCCCGGCCCAGATCATGTTTTTTAGTTTGTTTGTTTTTCATGGAAATTGCTTGCCCTTGGCTTCCTCTCTTCCTTCCTCCCTGTGGACTGGAACTTGAAAGTGATAGTACACATAACCTTCAAACCAGGCAAAGACCACAGCCTAGAGAATGCCATAGCAAGGAGAGAGAAGGAACCTGGCTTCCTGTTCATCCCTGGAATGTCACATGAGAAAGAAACAAGACCTTATCTCATTTGAGCCACTGTATTTTGAGGCCTCTTCATCACAGCAGCTTAGCCTGAACACTAACTGATAAACCAGAGATCCCCAGGACTGTAGATGGCATTTGCCATGGAGAAGGAGCTAGAAGTCCAGAGGTTTAAATCCTCACCTTTCTCCATTGCTAACGTCCTTTGTAATTTTGGACAAGTCACTGACCCTCTCAACCTCAGTTTTCTGCCCTGAAAATGAGGACAATAAGTTGTCTTGGCTCACAGAGCAGCTGTGAGCCTTACATAAAACAATCACTGTGAAGGCTCGTTGAAAAATATAGAAATGTTACAAAGGCAGAGTTAACAGTCACCGGGAACTTAGCGCACTAAGATCACAGGGTGGATTTCTATGAAATCTTTGTTCTCTGCCCCAGAGCTTTGTGTTCCTGACTTTGAGCCAAGGGCAAAGGGCTGCTCAGGAGAAACTGCCCAAAAATGCAAACCAGCAGACGGGTCTTCTGTCTGTCCCTCAGTTCCACTTTAGGGGAAATCATTCTGAAGTTAGGGCGTTTAAGTCCCCTTCCCCATCTGTCTCAAAACACTCGCCAGAGACCAGAGAACCTTGGAGCTACTCAGCTAAGTGCATGCTGGGTAAATCTCTCACAAAATCACTGCTCCCCTCTATGCCACTGTGGGCCACTTTTCCCAAGGGAGTGGCGCAGTGCAGGCACCTCCATGTAGGATTTACTGTCACTCTGCCTTGGCTTCAAACCCCACTCCCACTGGCTCTGTGCTCTGGGAAGGTCACGTATGTTCACTGAGCCTTAATTTCCTGCATTGTCAAAGGAGGCCACTGTCACCTTCCATACGGCATTCAATGGGTTCTAAATAAAGCATTTAGCACAATGCCTGACATTAGTAGGCACAGGGCCACAACTTACAAGGGCAGAAACCCATGTACATAACACTCCACAGGAACCAGCGCCAGGTGGGAACCTGAACTCACAGGCAAACTGCTGCAAGCTCACCGTGGACCACCCTGAGATTAAAACTCCAGGGGAACCCAGCCATAGGAAGCCCCCACACTTCTGTGGACTTTACCTCCAGGAGCTCAACCAGGTTCTCACAGCAAATATTGGAGAAAAATTATTTCCTGCTTCTGGCAGTAGGAGGGGGAAAGGAACTATTCCAGAAAATGCCAGAGCATTCTGTTCCTCTCACTAAGGTCTGCCCCCCGGAAGAAACTACAGATGTCCCCAACTTAAGATGGTTTGACTTAACAAGTTTTCTTTTATTGTTTTTTGGAGTTTTTTTGTTTGTTTGTTTGTGACAGAGTCTTGCTCTGTCACCCAGACTGGAGTGCAGTGGCACGATCTCAGCTTACTGCAACTTCCGCCTCCAGGGTTCAAGCGATTCTCCTGCCTCAGCCTCCCAAGTAGCTGGGATTACAGGCACCCGCCACCATGCCTGGATACTTTTTGTGTTTTTATTAGAGACAGGACTTCACCATGTTGGCCAGGCTGGTCTCAAACTCTTGACCTCAGGTGATCCACTCACCTCAGCCTCCCAAAGTGCTGGGATTACAGGTGTGAGCCACCGCACCTGGCCCCACTTAACAATTTTCAAGCTGATGTGGATGCATTCAGCAGAAACTGTACTTCCAGCACCCATACAACCATTCTGTTTTTCACTTTCAGTATAGTTTTCAACAAATTGCATGAGATATTCAACACTTTATTATAAAACAGGCTTTGTGCGAGATGATTTCCCAACTGTAGGAGAATACAAGTGTTCTGAGCGGATTCGAGGCAGGCTAGGCTATGACGCAGTGGATTAGGTGTGTTAAATGCATTCTCACCTCTCTGATGGATTTCTTGGGATGTAACCCCATTGTAAATCAAGGCACATATGTAGTTAACCAAAGCCTAACCTCCTGGGGTTTTATCACAGCCAAACCAAGCTAAGGGAAGAGAAATACCCAACTCCAACCCACTTAAGCCATCCCGTCTCACCTAAGGGAGGGGAACTCAGAAGCACTTGTGAAGCTCACAGCCCAGGGGCACAGGCTCACTCAAAGCCTGAGACTTAATCATAGGACTACAGCCCATTTCCCTTCCCACCACACCCTACCTCCTACCACATTCCTAGCGGCCTATTTACCACAGTTCCTTATACCTAGTACATCACATCCGGCTATCAAGAAAAAATTACAAGGCATACCTATAAACAAAAAATACAGTTTGAAGAGACAGAGCAAGTATCAGAACCTGACTCGGATACAGCAGGAATGTTGGAATTATCAGACCAGAAATTTTAAACCTATGCGCTAAGGAGACCAGGAATGTACAACAATTATGATTAAGATGCTAAGGGGCTGGGCACAGTGGCTCACACCTGTAATCCCAGCATTTTGGGAGGCCGAGGTGGGTGGATCACTTGAGGTTAGGAGTTCGAGACCAGCCTGGCCAACATGGTGAAATCCCATCTCTACTAAAAAAAAAAAAAAAAAAAAAAATTGCAAAATTATCCGGGCATGGTGGCCGGCGCCTATAATCCTAGCTACTTGGGAGGCTGAAGTAGGAGAATCGCTTGAACCCAGGAGGCAGAGGTTGTGGCTCATACCATTGAACTCCAGCCTGGGCAACAAAGTGAGACCAAGTCTCAAAAAAAAAAAAAAAAAGATGCTAAGGACACTAATGGATCAAGTGGACAGTATTAGGAACAGATGTGCAATGTCAGCATAGAGATGGACATGCTAAGACTGAACCCAAATAAATGCTGTACTCTGCAAAATCATCCTTGAAAAGTGAAGGAGAAACAGATTTTCTCAAACAAAAATTGAGGGAATTTGTTGCCAGTAGACCTGTCTTGCAAGAAATGTTAAAAGCAGCTGTTTAGAAAGAACGAAAACAACATAGGTCAGAAACTAGGAACTATGTAAAGAAAGAAATAGCACTGGAGAAGAAATAAGTGATGGTAAAATTAGAACTTTTTTTTTTTTGAGATGGACTTTTGCTCTTGTTGCTTAGGCTAGAGTGCAATGGCGCAATCTCAGCTCACTGCAACCTCCCTGCCACCCGGGTTCAAGCGATTCTCATGCCTCAGCCTCCTGAGTAGCTAGGATTACAAGCGCCCACCATCGCGCCCAGCTAATTTTTTTATATTTTTAGTAGAGACAGGGTTTCACCATGTTGGCCAGGCTGGTCTTGAACTCCCGACCTCAGGTGATCCACCTGCCTCAGCCTACTAAAGTGTTGGGATTACAGGCATGAGTCACCACATCTGACTGATAAAATAAAAACTCTTATTTTTCTTTGAGATGGAGTTTCACTCTTGTTACCCAAGCTGGAGTGCAATGGTGTGATCTCAGCTCACTACAACCTCTACCTACCAGGTTCAAGCAATTCTCCTGCCTCAGCTTCCCCAGTAGCTGGGATTACAGGTGCGTGTCACCACACCCAGCTAATTTTTTGTATTTTTAGTAGAGACAGGGTTTCACCATGTTGGCCAGGCTGGTCTCGAACTCCTGACCTTAGGTGATCTGCCCACCTTGGCCTCAAAGTGCTGGGATTACACGCGTGAGCCACCGCAACCAGCCAAACTTTTAGTTTTCTTTCTTTTAGTTGACCTAATAGATAACAGTTTGCCTAAAATAATAATAGCAATACCTGATTTTATCATGTGTGCTTGTGCATGTATATATACACTGATGTAGATTTATGTGTAAGAAAAATTAATGATAGTAATGACACAAGGGACAGGAGGGAGGAATTAGGATTTTTTGTTATTATAGGAGACTCACACTAACTGTGACACAGTATAATGTTGTTTGGAAGTGGACTTAGGTTAGTTGAGTAAGAAAATGAAATCATAGAAAATGCTCGATTAAAACTACAAAAGGCAGAAAAACAGTGGAAGACAAAAATAGTAACAAAAAACAAGAGCAACAGATAGAAAACAGTAACAAATATGGTAGATATTAATCCAACTGTATCTGTAACCACTTTGAACATCAATGATCTAAAGGCACCAATTAAAAGACAAAGATCATCAGAACAGATAAAACAAAACCCAACTGTATGTTGTCTACATGAACCCCACTTTATTTTTTTTCAACTTTCATTTCAGATTTGGGGGGTACATATGCAGGTTTCTTACAAGAGTATATTGCATGATGCTGATACGACTGAACCTGTCACTCAGATAGTGAGCACAGGACCCAATAGGTAGTTTTTGAACCCTTGTCCCCTCCCTCTCTCTCCCCTTTTGTATTCCCAAGTGTTTATTGTTCTCATCTTCATGTATATCTGTACCCAAGGTTTAGCTCCCACTTATAAATGAAAACACGCAGTATTTTGTTTTCTGTTTCTGTGTTAATCCACTTCAGATAGTGGCTTCCAGCTGCATCCATGTTGCTGCAAAGGACGTGATTTTGTTATTTTTTATGGCTGTGTAGTATTCCACGGGGTATATGTACCACATATTCTTTATCTAATCCACTGTTGATGGGCACCTAGGTTGATTCCACATCTTTGCTTTTGTGAATAATGCTTCAGTGAACATACAGTTGCATGTGTCTTTTGGGTAGAACAATTTATTTTCCTTTGGAAATCTACTTTAAATATAGAGCTATATCTGATTAAAAGTAAATGGATAGAGAAAGCTATACCATGTTAATACTAATCAAAAGGAAGCAGGAGTAGCTCTACTAATTTCAGACAGAGCAGACTTTAGAGCAAGGAAAGTCATCAGGGTTAAAAAAGGGTATTACATAATAATAAAGGAATAAATTCTTCAGGAAGATATAATAATCCTTAATATGTATATGCTTAACAGCAGAATATTAAAATATGTTAGGCAAAACCTGATAGAGCCACAGAAAAAAATAGAGAAATTCACTATAATAGTTGGAGACTTCAACACTTCTCTTTCAGAAATTGACAGATCCAGCAGGCAGAAAGTCATTAAGAACACAGTTGAGCTCAACACCACCACCAATTAACTGGATATAATGGACAGCTATGGACTATTCCATCTAACAAGAGCACTCCATCCATTCTTCTCAAGCTTACATGGAATATTCACCAAGACAGACCATATTCTGGGCCATAAAACACACCTTAATAAATTTAAAATAACAGAAATCATACAACGTCTGTTCTTAAGCCACAATGGGATTACACTGTAAATTGATGACAGAAATATAGAAAAACCCAAAATACTTGGGGATTAAACAACACACTGCTAAATAACACACGGGTCAAGGAAGAAATTTCAGTATTTCCAGGAATAATTCAAAATTTCAAGGAACAAATTGAAGAATATTTTAAATTAAATAAAATGAAAACATAACATCATAATTTATAGAATGCAGTGAAAGCAGCACTTAGAGGGAAATTTATAGCATTGAATGCATATATTACAAAAGAAGAAAGCTCCACAATCAGTCATCCAAGCATCCACACTAGGAAACTGAAACAAGAAGAGTAAATTTTAAAATCCTAAATAAGCAGAGGAAAGCAAGTAATAAAAATTAGAGCAGAAATCAATGAAATCTGAATAGCAATAGAGAAAATAAACAAAATCAAAGCTGTTTTTTAAAAAAGGTCGATGACATTGTTAATCCACTAAGCTAAGAAAGAAGAACACAAATTACTAATATCAGAAATGAAAGAAGTGTCATCACTACAGATCCCATAGACATGTAAAGCATAATTGAGGAATAGTATGAACAACTCTATGCCCACAAATTTGATAATCTCAATGAAATGAACCAATTCCTTGAAAGACACAATTTGCCCAAGTTGATACAAGAAGAAAGAGACACTGTGAATAGACCTATATCTATTAAAAATTCAGTCAATAATTAACAACCAATATAAAAGGCACAAGGCCCAGATGGGCTCACTCTTGAATCCCCCCAAATATTTACAGAAGAAATTGTATAAATTCTCTACAATCTCTTTCAGAAGCTAGAAGCAGAAAGAATATTTCCTAACTCATTCTATGAGGCCAGCACCACCCTAATACAAGCAAACAAAAAACAAAGATATTACAAAAAAAGAAAACTATAGAACAATATATGTCATGAACACAGTTGTAAAAATCCTCAACAAAATATTAGCACATTAAATCCAACTATGTAAAAAAAGATTTATACACAACCAAGTGTGATTTATCCTGGCTATGCAAGGCTGGTTTAACATTTAAAAAAATCAAATACAATCCATCGCATCAACAACTAAATAATTAAAATCACATAATAATATCATTAGATGCAGAAAAAGCATTTGACAAAGTCTAGCACCCATCCTTGATAAAAACTGTCAGTAAACTAGGAATAGAGGAGGACTTCCTCAGCTTGATAAAGAATATCAACAAAAACCTACAGCTAACATTATACTTAATGATGAGAAACTTGAAGTTTTCCCACTAAGATTAGGAACAAGGCAAGGATGTCACCTCTCACCACTCATTTCAACACTGTGCTGGAAGTCCTAGTGAATGCGATAAGATGAGGAAATAAAAGGTATACAGATCGGGAAAGAAAAAATAAAATTGTCCTTTTCTGCAGATGAAATGATTATCTATGTAGAAAATCTGAGATAATTTAAAACAACTTTTGGAACTAATAAGATTATTGCAAAGTTTTAGAAGAAAAGGTTAATATATAAAAGTCAATTGTGCCGAGGCAGGTGGATCACGAGGTCAGGAGTTTAAGACCAGCCTGACCAACATGGTGAAACCCCATCTCTACTAAAAATACAAAAATTAGCTGGGCATGGTGGCACACGCCTGTAATCCCAGCTACTCAGGAGGCTGAAGCAGGAGAATCACTTGAACCTGGGAGCCAGAGTTTGCAGTGAGCCCAGATCACACCACTGTACTCCAGCCTAAGCCAGAGTGAGACTCCATCACAAAAAAAAAAAAAAAAGTCAATTGTACCAGCAATAAGCAAGCGGAATTAGAAATTAAAGACTCATTATCATATACATTAGCACCCTCAAAAATGAAATACCTAGGTAGAAATTTAACAAAATATGTAAGATCTCTATGAAGAAAACTATGAAACTAATGAATGGAATCAAAGAAGCACTAAATAAATGGATAGGAAGACTCAATATCTGTCAAAGTGTCAGTTCTTCCTAACTTGGTCTATAGATTCAATCCAATCCCAACCAAAATCCCAGCAAGTGATTTTGTGGATATCCACAAACTAGGACACATGCAGTGGCTCTCACCTGTAATCACAGCATGTTGGGAAGCTGAGGCAGGAGGATCACTTGAGCTCAGGAGTTTGAGACCAGCCTGGGCAACATAGTGAGATCTCATTGCTATAAAAAATTTAAGAGCTGAGTGTGGTGGCACGTGCCTGTAGTCCCAGCTAATGAGGCGGCTGAGGCAGGGGGATCACTTGAGGCCAGGGGATTGAGGCTACAGTGAGCCATGATCATGCCACTGCACTCCAGCCTAGGTGACAGAGCAAGACTCCATCAAAAAGAAAGAGGAATGAAGTAAGGAAGGAAGGAAGGATGGATGGGTGGATTGGTTGACTCCTTTCATTCTGTTATTTACCAGTTTTCAAAATAATGCATAAGTAGAAACAAGTATTTCTGTGGCCCTGTATTCTTACTGACACTCAAAACAGTCTCATCTTGGAAGTGGAAGCCCTTTGGTTTGGTTCCTGAGTGCTTCTGATGTGGTGTCAGCATCTTTGATACCATCCTTGCCTTCCAGTATGACAGGAGAGTCTGAGCTCATTTTAAGCACATCCCATCCCAAACTTGGAATCGGTGCTGCTTCCTTTTGTTGGGAGATGGTTTTAGATATTTAGACACCCCAATTTGAGTTCTGGGGGTGTTCACTGCTACTGAGTTAATCATTGTTTCTAAGCCTTTCTATTGGACAAAACCATGAAAAGTTTTTTAAGATAAAATGCATGATGACTTCCTAATAAAACCTCCTATTTGGGTTCAGGCCCTAGAGGGTTTTTATTTAGCTAATTAGTTGCACATCTGTCCTTCCTTCCTTCCATGTCAAATCATACAGTTCTCAATGATGCAAACAAATGAACTCATTTGCTTTATTTCACAATATATACAACATTGTTTCAGAATAAAAATGCCTAACACTACCACAAATAATAGTATTATTGGATACGGTGCTTTTTAAAAATTTTACAGTTTTCTCTAAATCCAGCCCAGTTAGGAATCTAATAACAAATTACTGTTTTAAAATAACATCCCTTGAAATGGTTCATTCCTAGGTGGTTATGTGGCCAACTCGATAATCAGTTCATTTGTTTCATTTTGCTTTTGACATTTAGGGATCATTCTTTAAATTCTAATTCTTGTTCTTACTTCTGTAAAACATATACATGATTCTGAAGTCAAATATACAAAAACCAGGAGAACTGAGTAGACCAACCTTCACACCTGTAGGTCCTGGGATAAGGTCACAGAGGCCCGTACCCCACGTGTACATGTATTCAAAAGTCATTCACTCAGCCAAAAGGTTCTTTTCTTTTGAGACAGGGTCTCACTGTGTCACCCAGGCTGGAGTTCAGTGGTGCAATCTTGGCTTACTGCAACCTCCATCTCCCAGGTTCAGGCGATTCTCGTGCCTCCAGCCTCTGGAGTAGCTGGGACTATAGGTACCTGCCACCACACACAGCTAATTTTTATATTTTTAGTAGAGACGGGGTTTCACCATGTTGGCCAAGCTGGTCTCAAACTCCTGACCCCAAGTGATCCACCTGCCTCAGCCTCCCAAAGTGCTGAGATTATAGGCCTGAGCTACCGCGCCTGGCCCCAACAGGTTCTTGACTAGAACATGTCCTGTCCTCCTACTTACATAAACACTTCACATCAGCACAGAAGACCAGTTTCCAGTTTCAAATTCTTGGCTCTTTGGAATCCCACATTGAAACATGAGGGCATGGAGAGCACCAGCCTTCCTCTCCCCCTTCTCTTCCCATTCCTCACACCTCCCACACCCCCCGGCACCTTGCACACACCTGTGTGGACGTGTCAGCCCTCGGGTCTGAGGCCATGCTCACGTATCTTGCCCTTCACCCTCAGGAGGAAGGACACACCATGAGGCCTGCCCAGCCCTAGCCCTGGAGTTGGGCCTTCTGGGCAGGGAATGTTGGAGTCTGTGTTCTGGAAGGGAAGGCATCAGTTCCATATCCCCCGGCCCCATGGATCCCGCATCCCAGAGGAAAGATGGTGCCGGAGGCAGGCCAGGACAGGGGCCGCACTTACCCAGGCCCAAGGGTGCCCCAACAGAGAAGAGATCTAGCTTCTCTCATGTCCCCTCCATAAGCAGTTTTGGGGTTCCATTCCATTTTATAAATACAAGCAAACACACACACACACACACACACACACACACACACACACACACACACAGACTTTGTATTCTGTGGTCGGGGATGGGAAGGAGGGAACAGAAAACGTGACCACATAGCCAACCTCACCAGGGCTGAGCAGGTGTCAAACTGACCCAGCAGCCTCGATGAACCCGGCCAGCAGGAATTGAGCACGGGAGGGCAGCTTCCTATCACCTCAAGGTGATTCTGTCAAAGGCAGCAAATACGACTTAATTCACACTAGCCAGTGGGAAAATACAGTCTTCCCAATGCACCAAAACAAGCCAGATTGCCTAGGAGAGAAAGACGCAATTCAGGTTCCTGAAAGAATATTCTAGAACCCTGAACGGACAGGGTAGCAAGACCAACTTGTCTTCCCCTGGAAAAGACCTGGCCGTGCTCATGCCCCAGCCCTTCCAAAAGGAGGGAAGAGCCACCCCTGCCACATCCGAGGCAGCGCTGTGTGCAGCCCCCAGCCATGTCTACAGACGGCATCCTCGGCTCCTTGACGTTTCACGTTGATCTCACCCCATTGTCTCCACTTTTGGAATTTGCTTTATTTTCTTCAGCTCCATTTGTCACCAGCTCTTATCCAGGGGAGGAGTGGTGCTTCACCGCCCTGCAAATTGCCAGGTCTCTGCTGAAGCGACGCGCCCTCAGCTGTCAGGGAGAGAAGCTTCAGCTCTTCCTGCTGAATGATGATGAAGGAGCGAATCAAAGGCTCGGTCAAGTGAGGAGGACGGAATCAGAAAAACAAAAATCAGAATTCTGGGCGAGCCAGGCCAAGCCACGCAAATCAGCTGATGTGTCTATCACTGAAGAAACACTGCATTTGTCAAGGACATCCTAGAGGAAAAACCCAGTTCCCTCTGGACGTCATGATGCATGCAGTGGCCGCTAGGTGGCCTGCGGTGTCTAAGGGCCAGCCCCTCTCCAGCTTCTAAAGCTGGGAGAATTGGAAAACTTAAGAGCCAGCTAATAGTTCTTTTTTTTTTTAAGATATAAATGAACACATAAATTATCTTAAACTTACCAAAGGTTTTATTTATGAGCATATAGTGTCAACTTACTAAAAACTCCACCTCTTATAAATTGCTACCTAACTTCCTCTGGGGTGGCAAAATCTTTCTGAATGTTTGCAGTTTTGGAAATGGCAGGAGCAATATTCACCCTGTATTAGGTCTTCTCTCCATCAGCCTTACATGAAAGAGGCCTCCCTAACCAATAATTATCAGAAAAAAGAAAAAGCCCCTCCGTAATGGGCTCTTATACCCCACTCCTTTGTTTCTTTTCATTTGTATAATTAAAAAAAAAAAATCTACCTAGAAGCAGAGCAGCCAGGCCTCCCCTGCCCTCCATCCAATCAGGAATAAAGTTCACCTCGGTTACCATGGGCAACCACCACTTGTCCCTCTGCTCTCTAAGGCCTTCCTAAAAACATACACTTCATTGGTATCGAAAAGATGCTCTTTGTTAAGGAGGACTCCCCTCCTCAAGCCTTCAAGTTCATCCTGAAACCTCAGGCCCACCTGCTTTCTTTCCTTTCCAAGTAACCACACATTTTGAAGGGAACAGCTGGTGGATATACAGTATTCAGCAGTTTTCTCTACACTGGCAAGCCAAGGTCAAACCACAGGGTTGCTCAGCTGGGATGCTAATAATGTCACTGGCAGAAGCAATTTTGTTTACACAGGACAGCCGATGAAAAGACCCTGTTTGCTCTCAAGATGATATCATGAACGCATCTCTGTCTAAAATGCAGGCATACCTTGGAGACACTGAGGATTTCATCCCACACCATCGCAATAATATGGATATTGCAATAAAGTGAATCACACCAATTTTTTGGTTTCCCAATGCATATGGAAATTATGTTTACACTGTTTTGTAGTCTCTTAAGTGTGCAGTAGCATTATGCATAAAAAATGTTCATGAATTAATTCAAAATGACTTTATTGCTAAAAAAAAAAAAAATAATAAGATGGCTGACACAGAGCAGGCACATGCTGTTGGGAAAATGGTGCTGACAGCCTTGCTCAATGCAAGGTTACCACAAACCTTCAATTTGTAAAAAAAACCAAAAACAAAAAACCACAATATCTGCAAAGTGCAATAAAAGCAGGGCACAGTAAAGTGAAGTGCATCTGTATCCTACACGAAGATGTGAGACTGGGTAATTATAAAAGAAGGAGGTTTAATTGACTCATGATTCCACATGGCTGAGGAGGCCTCACAATCATGGTGGAAGGGGAGGAGGAACAAGGCACGTCTTATATGGCGGCAGGCAACAGAGAGCGTGGGCAGGGAAACTGCCCTCTATAAAACCATCAGATCACATGGGACCTACTCTCTATCACAAGAACAGCACAGAAAAGACCCATCCCCATGATTCAATTACCTCCCACTGGGTCCCTCCCACAACATGTGGGAATTATCTGAGCTACAATTCAAGATGAGATTTGGGTGGGGACACAGCCAAACCATATCAATTTCAAACCTAAGTTCAGGAAAGCCACCCGCTAACTGCCCACATGACATCCATCTGTCCTTTTCCCCATTACGTCCAGTGGCCACACACCCAGTGCCAGATAATGAATCATGACAATCGTCTTTCTTGCTGTCCCAACTTCTCTTGCAACTACAGGTGGCATATAACCCACTTCTTGCCATGAAACCAAATGGAAGTTGGTTGAGGACACTCCTGGGAAAACATCTGCTTTCCTTATTAAAGGGATAGACATAGCTGGTTCTGCTCCCACCTCCTTTCTTTCTGCTTTCAACCCAGATGTGATGTCTGGAGCTACAGCACCTATTTTGCCACCATGAAGCAAAGAAAGCCCTTGGATAAGTGTCGTAGTCTGTTCAGGCTGCCAAACAAAATACCATAAACCGGGTGGCTTATAAACAACAGAAATTTATTTCTCACAGTTCTGGAGGCCAGGAGTCCAAGGTCAAGGCATCAACAGATCTGGTGTCTGGGGAGGGCCCATTCTTGATTCATAGATGCTGTCTTCTCACTGTGTCCTCACATGACAGAAGGGGAGACAGAGCTCCCTGTGGTCTTTTTTTTTTTTTTTTTTTTTTCCCTTAAGATGGAGTCTCCCTCTGTTACCCAGGCTGGAGTGCAGTGGTGCGATCTCAGCTCACTACAACCTCTGCCTCCCAGGTTCAAGCGATTCTCCTACCTCAGCCTCCCGAGTAGGTGGGATTACAGGTGCCTGCCACCACGCCCAGCTAATTTTTGTATTTTTATTGGAGACAGGGTTTCACCATGTTGGCCAGGCTGGTCTCAATCTCCTGACCTCAGGTGATCCACCCGCCTTGGCCTCCTAAAGTGCTGGGATTACAGGCATGAGCCACCGTGCCCAGCCTCTGTGGTCTTTTTTTTTTTTTTTTAATAAGGGCACTAATCGCAAACAAGAGAATTCTGCTCTCATGACCTAATCACCTCCCAAAGCCCCCACCCCTTCATCCCATCACATTGGAGCTAAGGTTTTAACATATGAATTTAGGGTAACACAAACATTTGGTGTACAGCAGTGAGCATTGCAGATTAAAGGAACCAGTGATAGGTAACAAATATCTACCTTGAACATCTGGTTGTATGAAAAAATAAACCTGTATGCATTCCAGCCATTTAAGTTGGCTGTGACTTGAGTCTCAATCTAATTCTCGATGAGCACCCTGTTAGCACACCTTTCATCAACTCTGCTGTCTCCGACGGGAAGTAGAAGTAGAATCCACACCCACCTCCACTCTCCACCATCTCTCCTTTGTAGAACAAACACAAAAACCCAAACTGGGTAGATGGTGACATTTTCCAACTGGACCCAGGGATTGCCATAACTGACCGGTTAAATGGGCGATGGCTGACACCCAACAAGAACCGCTGAGCATCATGGGACAGAAGGTGGTGAAGGGCCAGCCCCTTCCAGAGCCAGGACACCTGCATCTGGGAGGGAGCAACCCTCCCAGCAGCCAGAAATGCAGCCCAACTAGTCGTCTTCATCAGGGGCTGGAAGGACTTTATTGGCTTGTGGAACTGCGGAACGGAAGAAGGGGTCAGGCTGAACAATGGGGTACTGAGGGCTTTCCATTTCTTACAGCACCAGGTCTCTGATGCACTGGATCCATCTAGACAGATGGGGTGACAAGCTCTCAGCCCTAGACCTGAATGCTTCTCACTCGTAACCCCAGCAGAAAGATGCAGCCCAATTGTGTCTTCATAACCTGTGGTCTAAATAATCAGCTCAATTCAACCACACCCAATATTCAACAGGGGAGAGGGAGATTGGGGACTATAATTTCTTTGAAGAGTTAATGTCTCAAAAGGAGAGAGAGTAAATCTGGACCTTTTTTTTTTTTTTTTTTGTAATAAAGGGAGGGACAAATATCTGTCAAGATCCAGGCAGAAGAAAAAGGTCCAGGCAGAAGATCCATGGTTAATTTTTTTTTTTTTTTTTTTTTTTTTTGAGATAGAGTCGCACTCTATCACCCAGGCTGGAGTGCAGTGGTGCAATCTTGGCTCACTGCAACTTCCACCTCTCAGGTTCAAAGCAATTCTCCTGCCTCAGCCCCCTGAGTAGCTGGGACTACAGGCATGCACCACCACGCATGGCTAATTTTTATATTTCTAGTAGAGACGGGGTCTCGCCATGTTGGCCAGGCTGGTCTCGAACTCCTGACCTCAAGTGATCCACCTGCCTCAGCCTCCCAAAGTGCTGGGATTATATGTGTGAGCCACCGCACCCAGCCTGCCATGGTTAATTTGAATCAGGAAAATGTAATGTAAAGAACTGTTAACTAAAACAGTAGGAGGTAGGTAACTACTCAAGGGGGTGAATGAGGACTCCTCAGGATCTGTAGGTAGCAGGTGCTACCTCTGGGCCGAGGAAGAGTGGACAGCAAAGGAGCTAAGGAAGAGAAGGGGGACCATTCCCATCTCAAGGCTGAGATTCAGAGCTCTTCAAAGAGATCCAAGGAAGAGACCAAGGCCAACGAGGAACATGAAGAAGTTTGTTAGAGGGCACGGCTGGTCTCAATTCTCATCCTGAAAAACCAGCTATAGACACGTAGCTGAACCATAGCTGGTTCTGCTCCCACCTCCCTTCTTTCTGCCTTTAACCCAGATGTGACATCTGGAACTATAGCATCTATTTTGCCCCATAAAGCAAAGAAAGCACTTGGATTTGAGAATCCAAGAATGTTGGAACAGAACCTAAAAGGGAAGTGCCTTCTGCAGCTCTCGCCTTGTGGGGTCACCTATTGCCTTCCACAGACAAAGCCTAACATTCTCCCAGCTGGCAAGGGAGAAATATTTACAGGGTCCAGCTCCAAGGTCACAGGCTGAGCCGTGAAGAATGGATGTGCTCTGGGAGAGGACAAGTCAATCACAGGCTCAGGGAATTTCACTGGTTGGGTCTTTCTCTGATGAAACAGAAATGGGAGGGGTGATGTTTTCCTGGTGCTATATTTGGGTGATGCTGTCAAATGGTCACTGTGTCACTCTCTGGTAAGCCAGGTGGACAAGGAAGCTTGGGCACATGAATTTTGGCCTAGTATAAAGTGTGTTCTTGGCTTTAACTAATGCCCTATTCTGATCTATGAGGGGCACAAGAGCTGAATGAACGTCCATGTCCATAATCTTGCAAGGATATAAGGGACTGGCACAGTAATAAGCACGAGGAAGGGCTACTGCTCTCCACCCTCCATTCCAGGGGGTATGGGGGATGAGGAATTCCCACGATGTCTCAGGCAGCACGAGAATGAGCTGCATTTGCTAGTGGGTGAGTCATCGTTCATGTGGAGGAAACGCAGGTGCAATATGTTTCAGTCTCTGGTGAAACAGGGTTCATAGCTGAGCCTGTCCACTGTGATCTTTTCTCCTTCTTGTCAATGAACCTCAGTGGGCTTGGCCTTGGTCTCCAGCACTGGGCAGCAGGTCAGAGGGTGGGAAGATCCTGTTTCAGGGCCATGGCTGCAGGGGAGAGGGGGAAGCTGCCGTGGGACCCACCCAGTTCTGGGAGACAAACCTGCACAGTGGTGTCACGCACTGGCCCAACTAATGTGAAAGTGGCACCTGGTTTCCCATCTGCTCCTGCTCCTCATGCTTGTAGCTCCCTTGAAACTTGACAGGCAGGACTGGGCCAAGACAGGGCTGCCCATTCCCAAGCTCCCTTCACCTGATTGTCTTCACAACAGTCACCCTGTGCTACGGACTGAATGTCTGTGTCCCCCTGAAATTCATATGCTGATGCCTAGGACCCAAGGTGATGAAGTCACCTTTGGGAGTGATGAGCTCATGAGGGGAGAGCCCTTGGGGATGGGATCGGTGCATTAAAAGGGGCTAAAGAGCCCAGCATTCCCCCCTTCCACCACATGACCACACAGCAAGACGATGGCTGTTTGTGAGGAGGAGGCCTTCACCAAGCCCCCAACCATGCTGACACCCTGGTCTCGGACTTCCAGCCTCCAGAACTGTGAGAAATACATTTCTGTTGTTTATAAGCCCCCCAGTCTATGGTTCTGTGTTCTAGAGCGCCAAATGGACTAAGACACCCTGATTCCCACCACAGACATCCAGCAGGCCTGCTGCCAACAGTCAGTCTGGAGTCTGACAGTCTGACCAGGCCAGGCCAGGGAGGACTTGCATCATCACGTGAAGGATGCAGATATCGGCCTCCACGCTGCAGTCATGGAGGATTGGAAAGGATTCCTTTCCAATCATGGAGTTCTCAGAGAGGCACAGGAGCTGCCGGCTTCAGTATGACAAATCACAAGAACACAGCACCAGCCCAGCACTGAGGGCAGCACAGAGTGGGTCCCGGGGAGGGTGTGCACACATGCACAAAGCCACGAACATCCAGGAGAGCTGGTGGCACCGGAGCGCACACACCTGGGCCGTGCCAGAGCTCTCCGTGGAAGAGGGCGATCTCACCCTTCATCCATCATCCAGGCAGAAGGCAAGCAGACCATTTCCCCAAGCAGCACTTCTCTCCAACAAGCAGTGGTCATAAAAGCAGAGGCTCTGAAACTTTAAGAGGCCATAAACCCTTTGGCAACGACACACGGCTCCGAGAACACACGCATGAATAAATAAAACCAATACTCTGCTGCTGAGACATCGCTACATCCAGAAGGACCCAGAGCAACAGACGCAGAGAAAAGCAACATGGACCACCGCGGCCTGACAGCAGGTCCCACGGGCCCAGGGGCGGCTGCTCACCAGGCACCCCATTTCCAGAAGCCCTGGGCAAAGTCAGCAGCTCCCAGGCAGCTTGCATGCATGTGGCCACAAAACTGAAGCCATTGATTGCTAAACCAGATAGCAACCTTACTGAAGGAATTGCAGGCCAGGCCGGTGGACACTCCTCTGAAGAGGGAGAGGACAAGCAGCCGTGCCTGGAGATGCAGATATACCAGGCCTTCCATACCAAGCTCACATTCAGCCACAGGACAAAGCGCTCTGAGGCAAAAAGGATCATTTGTCTGGGCTGTGCATTCAGTAATGCTCGTGGGGAGGCTTTACCCTGGGAAAGTCTAGTTTTAAAAGCTGATTTCTCTACTGAGAGCCAGCTAAAAAGACCCCACAGTCCCCGCAGCCTGCTTGTACTGAGGTTTTGTCCTCGATTTAAAAACCTTCTTTTCCCAGTGGACCTTTAGGCAAGAACTGTAAAGAACTGCAATAAGGCCCTTGATGTGGGGCAGAATTAATCTGACAGGCTTCTCCTGCTGAACCTGATATTACACTCCAGACACAGACTCTCCCACCAGCCTCCTTTCCCAGGGCTGCCCATCAAGGCTGTGGCTCAGTGAAACTTCGGGGATCATTTGCAATAGAATTAGAGTTGAATTTGCATGTGAGGGTGGTTTTCTTTTTTCATTTGCAAGGACTCGTTCCCAGTCAAGTGTCCAAACACATTTTATCAGGACCTGGAGGAGGCTGAGCAGACAGAGGCATGATGGAAGCCGCTGGAAGGAGGCAGAGCTTGGCAAATGGGAACTTCTGCTTTGATTTAAGCAGAGTTGGGTGAGGGAGAGATGTAACAACACTAAGGCAGGATGAGAAATGAGCCAAGCAGAGTCGTTCCAGTTTCCTGAGCACTTACTACGTGCTGGTGCCACACTGGGTGAGGGAGGCAGACGCCATTCAGGAGCAAGGGAAAAGACAACTGAAGAAGCCTTTGGAACTATGAGCCGTTATCCTCAGAAGGGCCCAACTGGGGACAGGCCTCATCCTTCACCTCCCAGGTAAAGAAACTGAGGCACAGAGACAATAAATTAAATGTAGCCAGCTGGGCGCAGTGGCTTATGCCTGTAATCCCAGCACTTTGGGAGGCCAAGGCAAGAGGATCGTTTGAGCCCAGGAATTCCAGACTAGCCTGGGCAACATAATGAGATACCATCTCTACAAAAAATTAAGATTAAAAATTAGCTGGGTGTGATGGTGTGCACCTGTAGTCCCAGCTGCTTGGAAAGCCAAGCGGGGAGCATTGCTTGAACTCAGGAACTCAGGGCTGCAGGGAGCCGTGATCACACCACCACACTCCAGCCTGGGTGACAGAACGAGATCCCATCTCTACAAAAACTAAGGTAATAAAACTGGGCATGGTGGTACACACCTGTAATCTCAGCTACTTGGGAGGCTGGACAGGAGGATCACTTAAGCTCAAGAGGTTGAAGCTGCAGTAAGCCATGATCGCGCCACTGCACTCCAGCCTGGACAACAAACTGAGACCCCCTGCCCCTAAAAAATAATAAATCAATCCATGCAGCGTTTTCAAAAAAATGATAACAGTCTTGTGACTGGTCCCAAATCACAGGAATATTGTGTCAGGAAGCCTCTGGTTTCATCTGGGTTCAAATTTGCCATAGGGACAAAGCAAGCCACATGGCCTGAGGACTGCCTGACAGCAGACTGCGGGGGAGGGAGGCAGCTTGCATTGCTCTTTAGTTGGGGAGGCATAGAAGATTGGGGCTCCTGCAATATCTTTTTTTTTTTTTTTTTTTTTGAGACAGTCTTGCTCTGTAGCCCAGGCTGGAGTACAGTGACGTGATCTCAGCTCACTGCAACCTCCGCCTCCTGGGTCCCAGTTCAAGCAGTTCTCCTGCCTCAGCCTCTCCAGTAGCTGGGATTACAGGCATGCACCACCATGCCCAACTAATTTTTATATTTTCAGTAGAGACAGGGTTTCACCATGTTGGCCAGGCTGGTCTTGAACTTCTGTCCTTGTGATCTGCCTGCCTCGACCTCTCAAAGTGCTGGGATTACAGGCAGGAGCCACTGTGCCCGGCCTGCAGTATCACTTTCTGCATCAAGCTAACAGAGACAAGCTATCCAACTTTTTCTCACGCCCATCAACCCCACCTTTCCCCAAACAAAAACTTTTCTTCCTAAATAAGGATACTTACATTTTTGGACATCTTTGGTTTGTTGAACAGGGCACCCCTCATAGGAGGCCGGGCACAGTGGGGCACACCTGTAATCCCAGCGCTTTGGGAGGCTGAGGTGGGAGGAATTCAAGACCAGCCTGGGCAACACAGTGAGACCTCATCTCTACAAAAAATACAAAAATTTGCTGGGCATGGTGGTGGTGCACACCTGTAGTCCCAGCTACTTGGGAGGCTGAGGTGGGAGGATGAGTTGAACCCAGGAGTTTGAGGCTGCAGTGAGCCATGGTTGCCACTGCACTGCAGCCTGGAAGACAGAGCAAGATGGTGTCCCTAAAAAATTAAAAGTTTAAATTTTTAAAAAGCCCTCATACGTTTATTGGCCGCATACCAGCAGGCCGCCACGTTTTCTTCTATGAGGGCAGCAGCAGACACTGCAGATGAACAAACGCCACCTCATTGGCCCTCTCTGGGCACAAGTCTTCTCAGAGACAGGAGAAATGGGGCCAGGGTGCAGGCGTTACTCCCTTCTGCAGACAGGAAGGGGCGGGAAGCTGGTTTCCAGCAGACAGGAAGGGGCGGGAAGCTGGTTTCCAGCAGAGCCATGATGGGCCTGAGCCAGCCCCCTCTAACCGCCACACACGGAGGTGGCTCAGGCCATGGGACTCCAAGGGATCATAGTAACGGAGTGGAAGGGGCTGAGGTGGCCGTGGTGGCAGCAGATGTGGGATCTGTGATGTCACAGGCTTCTCCCAAGCACCTGGACTCAGGCTTAGATGGGATTAGAGCCCTCAGAGCTCCCGGTCATTCACGCTCATCGGACAGAATGCCCCTGGTGTTTGCATGAATTTGTTGGGAACGGACACAATGTACTCTTAAATTCCTGACCCACAGAGACTGTGCACTGCTTCCAGCCACTAAGTTTGGGGGTAATTTGTCACACAGCCATAGATAACTATTACAGTGTCTAAAGGAGCACATCAAATATTCTATGCAATTAATTACTGGTAGAACAGGAAGATGGTGCCAAGAGCACTTAAGGAACTTGGTATTTTTAGGTAACTGAATAAAGGACTGTCAGAACCTGAGTGCTACGTTAATACCAAATAACCCCAAACTGGCTAACGTCCTGCAGAGTAATAAACCACAACCTTTGGGGTTATCTTTTCTACCAGACAGAGATTCTTTTCATCTCTATTGCTCAAAAATCTAGAGTTCACAAAAAACTTCTGGGACCTTGATTTAATAGAAAGCAGGGAGTGGAATAACGTGTGGCTGTAGGTGGCTGTCCTGGATGATGTCCTATGACCCCTGAAATGTTTAGCAGTATCCCTGCTGACTTCCCACTAGGGGTCAGCAGCATCCCTGCCCCAGCCATGATCATCAAAAATGCCTTTTGACATTGCAAACATCCCTTGGGGGACCCAGGGTTGCAAACCATTGCCTGAGATAATTAAATAATCCTCGGGCAGACCTATTGGACAATGCCCATTTTGACACTGAAATTGTTGCAGGACTTTCTTCTCAGTTCAGCTAAAAACCAGGCTCTTGGCACACGACCAGGAAAGATTAGGCTCATGGGCACATAGAAGGGTGAGAAAAAATGGAATTTATTGGGAGAAAACGGAGAAAGAGAAAAACTTTCAGCAGAGCAAGAGGGACCAGCTCCCACTCCACCAGACAGGGACTCAAGAGGCTGAGATCCTCCCCTCTGCAAATGGCGTGAACTTATGTGGCTCCGCTCCATTCTCCCATGCTCAGGCCAGTTGGAGATTCTCTGGACTGGCAGTCCAGTTTTTCAGCCTTCAGGCTGTTTTAGGCTTGAAGGCAGGGCTTCGTGGGGAGGGAGCACAGTGGGAAGGGGACTTGGCTGCCTCTTGTCTCTATCAAAATGACACGCCATCAAAGGAGTGAAGGGTGTACCATCCCAAAATATGCTGGATTGGCACCTTGATTATTCTGAGTCAAACCCATTGGAGAAATCGTCATTTCAGAAAGCGTGAGCTGATCCGTCTCTCCCTGCGTACAGTAAGCCATGAAGATTCCTCCAGGAAGAGTACCCTTGCCAGAGCAGGGCAAGAAAATAGCCCTTATCACCAGAGCCTGGGCACTGGCGGCTGCATAAGGAAGATGAATAAATATACTTCCCGGCCACTAGTTTTACATCATCTCCCATAGATCTCCTAGTGACTCCCCTAGAAAGGTACTTCCTTTAGCCAGATCCTCTTTGTCCTAGTGAAATGGCCTGGGGTCACACCCAAAGTCCCTGGACTCACAGCCGAGGAAATCAAGGACGCAGACACACCAACGGTGAGGTCAGAGCAGAAGCAGAAGTTTAATAGGCGAAAGAAAGAGAACAGCCCTCTGTTGCAGAGAGGGGTCCCAGAAAGGGTTGCCATTCAGCAGTGAAATGCTAGAGTTTTTATAAGCGAGCTAGTGGGGAGGCCGTATCTTATCAACATAGGGTGCAAAAAAACAGGAGCAGGTGTGCAGCACAAAATCTCTGGCAGCCCCCACCCCAGCCTTTTATTATGCAGGCGGGTCCTTTGCCTGAACCACGTTGCCTTCCTACTGTGCGTGTGTGGAAAAAAGGGTGGGTGGAGCCCCCGTGGTGGATATGCCTGGCCCCAGGGAGCCCTTTCTACTGGTGCAGCTGCAGGCATCCCCCTCCCCCGCCCCCATGCAAGCTTCCGAAAAAGGGAAGGAATGTGCTAAGGCCCACGGTGCTTACTGGACCCACTGTATGTGAAGCTTGCTGATGACCCAGGAGCTCCCACTCTGTGTAGAGCTGCTTCCTTAGCTCCCACTCTGTGTAGAGTTGCTTCCTTATCTATGTTTGTAGCCTGGTCTTCCAGGCTGCTGTTTGTTAGAAAAGAAGTAATTTCTTGGGCTGCTTTTTGTTAGAAGAGAAGTTCCGCTGAGGACTCTGCCCTAACTATCTACCTAGCTAATTTCTTTGTACCTCCTCTCTCACTAGCATCTCTTGTCAAATGTATCGTTTTTTGTCTTAAAAGCATCTTAATCTGGCCACTTCTTCAGTCTCTCATGAAGATCCCCACATACATGTAAAACCACTAAAACTTGTATGCTTCTCCCTTGTTAATTGGCCTGATGGCACTTTGGTTTCTAGATCCAGCTGAAGAGCCCATTAAGAGCTAGGCAAGGTTGGAGATAGCTTCTGCCCCCACACCACCCACCTTTTTATCTCCTTGTTTTTTGAGATGGAGTCTCACTCTGTTGCCCAGGCTGGAGTGCAGTGATACGATCTCGGCTCACTGCAACCTTTGCCTCCTGGTTCAAGCGATTCTCCTGCCTCGGCCTCCCGAGTAGGTAGGATCACAGGCGTGCACCACCACTTCGGGCTAATTTTTGTATTTTTAGTAGAGACGGGGTCTCACCATGTTGGCCAGCATGGTCTCAAACTCCTGACCTCAGGGGATCCACCCGCCTCGGCCTCCCAAACTGTTGGGATTACAGGCATGAGCCACTGCACCTGTCCCTCCTTTTTCTTAATAGGCCAGGAACTGAGGAAGGCAGCCCCCCTACATGACTGACCGCTTCCAAGGAGAGGGGGATCCCTGCAGCTGCCTCCGTAGCTCAGCTGCACGTGCAAGGTGGACCCTTTAACCTCCAGCTCAGGGGAGACAGAAATAAACAAGAAAAGAGGAAAATAGAGTTGTGAGGTGCTGGGAAAGTGGCAGGATGAAGGGCAGTACACAGTTAAGGAGACAAACAGACGCTTAACTATTAATACAACTCCAAGCCCTAAGTTTGTGTTTTCTTAAAAGTTATTTAGAACCCGCAAGCAGTATTTATCTAAGAAAAAGAAAGAAATAAGAAAAAGAAGAAATGTGAATTTACCTCTGGGGCAGACTGATGCTTTGTTTCAAGAAGAACACCGAAAGTGGTCTTTGATTACTAAGTGTACAGCAAACAGCCACTGTGGTTCCAGACACCACTGCTCTGAAGGCAGATGTTTTAGCCTGGGAAGCTACACCTTCTGTGCGGAAGAAATGGCAGAATCAGAACTGTTTCTGAAAAAAAAAAGTTACTTAGTTTATAACTCATTATATTCATTAAAGGGCTCGAAAATATTTCTTATCCCAGGTGCATGTGCAGCGGCTGCCCCTGAACTGCATTGTTTCTAGGGTGCAGGATGCGTGCTCACTCCTTTGAATGGGCATCTGCAGGAGACCAGGGCCGGGGTGGAGAATCCATGAGAAGGGAAGGAGGCCCTGTCCTCTCCTCAGCCCTGCCCAGGGCATGGGTGGGACTGGCTGTGTCTCAGGGGTGGAGAAGGCTGTGCCCTGAGCCTGCTGCTTCCTAAGGCTGGAGTCCCACTGGGTGCCCATTATGTTCTGAGACCAATGGCAGGCGAGCAGCCGCGAGGCTGAGACGGGGCGCCCGTCCAGCACAGCGAGCATTCCTGCCACCTGGGCAGAGGCTGGTCCTGTGACAGGAAATGCGGACACGGAGGCCAGCCCCTCAGGCTGGAGCCACGGCTGCTACTCGGGGCCTCCTGGCAGCTGGGCTGGACCCCAGGTCAGGGACAACACAAAGCTCTCCTAGGAAAGGCAGGAGGGCGGGGCCGCTCCTTCACATAAGTGCCACCTGGAGGCCAGGTGGGGTCCCTTGCAGGGATCCTCGAGGATAGACCTTCCTGGAAACTCTGACAGCCACATCCAGGAGACCTCTGTGTTACCCGAGCCCGCCTCCCCTCCCTTCTTCATGCCTCGCCTCCAGGAGGCTCTGGTTTCAGCCATGGCGTGGGAATGTCAGGGAAGCCAGTCCCATGCTTGAAATGCAGTGCCGGGTGCCACAGCCAGCATGTGGTCGGGGCAGCAGCCTGGGCCAGGGATGGCCGTACCGCGCCTGGCTCCACCACAGACGTGCCCGAGACACCCACACTGCCAACTCAGACTCCCGAGAGAGCTTAGGAGGGCTGAGACCTGGGTGAGGAGGCGACCCAGGATGGACAATTCACAGGATTAAAGAGCGGCTGGGGGATTCATGGAGAGATGCACATGGTTTAGGTGGCAGTCACAGACCAGCGAGGCCTGGATGTACAAGCTATGGATGAATGAGATAGATGATTGACTGACTGGTGGGTGGGTGGATGGATGGATAGAGAACACAGAGATAGAAGTATAGCATGGATGGAGAGAGAGATAAGTATAGGGTGAATAAATAGATAATACAAAAGACAGAGATATAGGATGAATGAATAGATAGGAATACAGGTATAGGATGGATGAATGAGTGGATGGAGAAAGACATAAACATAGGGTGAATGGATAGAAAATATATAGGGATATAGGATGGATGGGTAGATATATAGGTATAGAATGAATGAGTAGAGGTATAGGATGAATAGATAGAAATATAGGTATAGGATTGATGGATGAATGTGTTCCCAGACCAAACTGAGGGGTCGGGCTGCTTATTCTCACGGCCCAATAACCAGATGCAGATGAACTGGGAAAGAAGAGAGTTGATTTCTGTAACTAGGTACAGAGAGAAGGCCTGGAAATTATCACTAGGACCAACTCAAAATTACAAAGTTTTCCAGAGCTTACATACCTTCTAAGCTATACGTCTATGTGTAAGTGTGCATTCCTCTACACACTTAAGCGATTAACTTCTTCTCATCTATAACTAAGGGCTGAGTCTTGAAGACCTCCCTCTGGAGCCTCAGGAAATTTGCTTCATCTAGTTGGGTCCAGGTGCTGGGGTGACTACCATTAGCTTGTCTCCTGCTAAATCATGGAGGTCTGGGGAGTTTCTTCAGACCCCCAGTAAGCTTGTTTAACCCTAAACAGGTCCTTTTAAGCACTCCTCTGTTATCTTGTCATGCTTCAAGGCCCAGGAAAGGCCTGGGCAAAACTCTTGGTGGGCTTTTGTTACATTCCAGCCTTCGTATAAGGGTGCTGGTTCTATTGGCTTTTAATGTTTAACCACATATTCAGTGCTGAAACTGTTTTTATGGAAGCCGGCGTTAATGAGACCTGGCTTGCCACAAATGAATAGAGAAAGACTTAAGTATAGGGTGAATGGAAAGACAGAAAACATATAGAGACATAGGACGGATGGGTAGACAGGTATAGAATGGATAAATAGAGGTACAGGATGGGTGAATAGATGATTGATTGACTGATAAAGGCATAGGACAGATGATGAGTAGATAGACAGATATAGGAGTAGAATGAATGGACATTTTTATTATCTTCCTAAAATGTGGACAAGGGGCAGAGAAAGGACAGAAAAACACGAATGCACAAGAAACTCAGAGCACAGATTATTCACTTTTGCTCTTTACACTCCAGAAGGAGGAGTTTTAGAAGCAAAGTTCAATGGCTCCCAGCTTCCGTCTTTAGATATCCGTGATAGATACATTTCTAGCAATGTCACCCAACACCAACTGGGAGAGCAAAACCTGACATAAACTAGAACCCCAAGAACCAAAGAGTATGCTGTCTCTGTCCCCACTGGCGACACACAGAACATAAGAGGCAGCCGTTGGCCCACGGGCCAGCCCTGCGCTTCCTCCCACACCCCCAACAAACGAGCGTGTCCTTCCAGTGTGGCTCCTTTGTCCCTCACCTTCCTCGAACAGAAAGAGAAGGGGGTCATGCCCACGTCCCTAACTGTGTCAAGCGGCCCAAACAGCAGCTATTCTAAAGAATGTGGCTATTTGGGGATGAAAGACCCTATGGAGGGCCAACCATTATCAGTAACAGTGCCAGTCCCCCAGAAATGTGAGTGCCAGACAGATTCTGCTGGGGGGCAGGAGATGCTTTTGTGGTGAAATGGAGCCCGGTGGGACTTTGAAATGGAGCCCGGTGGGACTTTGAGTCCTCATCCTATGTGTAAGTTCCAAATGCAGATCTGGCCCCCCATATACAAGGAGCATTGCTTCCTATACATAAAGCTGGTTATCCACTATTACCTGGAACTGAAAAATAGCTCGTTTTGGAAGGTTTTTTTTTTTTTTTGAGGGAGGGGCTTCCTTCCTGTTAGAGTATATTGAGGCAGAGTGACTATCTTGCTTGTACAGGGGCTGGGTAAAATGAGGCTGAAACCTACTGGGTTGCACTCCCAGGGGGCTGGGCATTCTTAGTCACAGGAAGGATGAGACAGAAGGGGCACAAGATACAGGTCACAAAGACCCTACAGGATGCAGTAAAAAGTGGACCAAAACCCACCAAAACCAAGATGACGACAAAAGTGCCCTCTGGTCATCCTCAGTGCTCACTAAACACTAATTATGATGTATTAGCATGTCAAAGACACTCCCAGCAGCACCTTGAGTTACAAATGCCACGGCAACGTGGGGAAGTTACCCCACATAGTCTAAAAAGGGGAGAGATCCTCAGTTCTGGGAAATCCCCACCCCTTTCCCCAGAAACCTCATGAATAATCCAATCCAGCCTTTGTTCAGCATATAATCAAGAAATATCTTTAAGTAGAAACAGTTCAGCAGCCCATGCTGCCGCTCTGTGTGGAGAGTAGCCATTCTTTTATTCCTTTACCTTCTTAATAAACTTGCTTTCGCTTTACTCTGTGGACTCAGCCCCAATTCTTTCTTGCATGAGGTCCAGGAACCCTCTCTTGGAGTCTGAATCCGGCCTCTTTCTGGTAATACCCCTAACATTGCCCATTCATAGTGATAAAGAGGAAATAAGACCATGCTGTTGGAGAGCGGCGGGCTAGATCAGAACACCACCCACATCTCGGGAGGAGGTGGGCGAGAAGGATCTACCTTTAAAGAGCTCCAATTAAAGCAATTACCATTGTTACAGAAATGACTGTTTTTAAAGGATTGAAGGCTTCTATTGGAGAACACTTCAGAGACCACGAGGAAAAAAACCGCCCACGTGAGCGGCCCATTAAAGAGAACAAAAGGCAAGCAGTGTTCAGACGATCTGCTTCCATCTTCCCAGGCCTCCTCCTGTTTTTTTTTTGTGGGCAGCCACCCTTCCCGAAAGCCTGTCATGCTTTCTGAGGTTCTCACTGAGCTGTCAGCTGGAGACTCAGGGCCCAGGAGAGGACGGACACGTGAGGGGGCTGCACGCGGTGCCAGGTGATGGCTGTCCCTTCCTTCCTCCTCTGAAGCTCTCTCCAGACAAGCTCCGGATGCTTGGATCCTTGTCGTGGGTCAAGGCATGGATGGCCCTCTGCGAGAAACAAGGACCTGAGAATCCACACTCACACGACAATTACAGGGGGTTGAAGAAGCCGTAATACGCAGTGATGGATGCTGTGGAGGTCAGGGGTACCGGACGTCACGGAGCCAGGAGTCTGGGATGACCTTCGTCCTCTGAGCCTAATGCTTCAAAGATCCGATGGGAGGTTTGATGTTGGTGGGGACATTCTCAGATGATGAGGGCAAGGGCGCATCCTCCGTCTACTTACAATGGGGTTCTGTCCTGATAAACCCGTCATGGGTTGAAAATACCTTAAGTCAAAAATGAATTGAATGCCTAACCCACTCCACATCACAGCTCAGCCTGGCCTACCCGAAACATGCACTCAACGCTCCCATTAGCCTGCCTGTGGGCAAAATCAGCTCACGCAAAGCCTGTTTTATAATAAACTGTTGAATAGCTCATGGAATTTGTTGAATACTGTACTGAGAGTGGAAAACAGAATGGTTATCGGGTACTCAAAGTAGTTTCTGCTGAGTGCGTTATCGCTTTCTATTTGGTCTTCCTGTTCCCTGACATACATCTCTTAAAATCCTTGGAATCTCCAAAGCAGTATCTTCTGTATGTGAATGATCGGCTGCTGGCTGGCAGACTCTAGGTATTATGCCTTTGGGATGGGGCTACTCACAAGAAAGACCAAGGCAGGATTAGGGGCGGGGGTGCTGAAAGTCCCAGCCTCTGTCTTTGTGGGGGCTGAAGGTGACCGCCAATGGCCAATAGTTTAAAAGTCCCCAAAAGGACAGGATTCAGAGAGTTTTGAGATACCTGAAAACATGGTTTCTGGAGGGCAGCGCCGTGGCGGGAGGGCCTGGAAGCTCCGCCCCTTCCCCCATACTTTGCCCTAGACATCTCTTCATCATGATCCTTTGTAATTTCCTTTATCGTAAACCAGCAACCGTAAGTGAGGGCTTCCCTGAGTTTTGTGAGCCACTCTAGCAAATTAACCGAACCCAAGAAGGGAGTCGTGGGAACCCTGATTTATAGCTGGTCACTGAGAAGCACAGATAGAGCCACCTGGGGCTTGCGATTGGCAGCAGGAGTGGGGACAGAGTCTTGTGGACTGAGTCCTCAGCCTGTGGGATCTGACGCTACCTCTGGGTAGTGTCAATAGCGTCAGAATTGAATTGGATTGCAGGACACCCAACTGGTGTCTCTGCAGAACTGACGGCTTGCACATTGGCGTGCAGTGGAGAAAACCCCACCCACACAGAGGTCTTCTGTGTTGATCATTGTGGTGCGAGAGCAGAGAAAAAACAGTTTTGAGTTTTTTGGACTCACCTTAGCACCATCATAAAGTCAGGGACCATCTACATTTTCAGAGTGTTGCAAACAGATTTTTTTGTTAAAGTACTCAAAACATTAATTTCTAGGAAAACAGGATTCATAAAACAAAGAAATGCAACCCCCCCACTTTATGATTAAATTCAAAAAATATGAAAATTAGTCTGCCAAATGCTTTAAAAGTTCTCAAAACCTTACTCTCAATTTCTGAACTTACCTCTTCGCAGACGTGTAGCAACCAGTCCCCCAGGTGGCCCCAGGTCACGGGCTACAAGTTGAGTGGCTCTAAGACATATGTTACCACCGGAGCACTCTTCACCCAAGAAGATCATGGAAACACAGGTCAAATAAGGTGTGGAAAACACCACGTATAGTTTTGGACGTGCACAGCGAGGCAGCATATTGAAGGTGCTGAGAAGTCCTGTTTACAACAAAAACAGAAATCTGCTCACCTTTGCTCAGTTTCCAAATTTGACTGTCACTTTCTCTTTTTGTGTTTACTTATTATTTTTATGTAACATTGCAACATTTGCCAAACCCCATTCCACCAAGAAATGCTTGCCTGGCCTCATGGGAACCTGCTCAGCCTGGCAGAAGGAAGTCACTAATTCTGAAACCTAAGGTCCGGGTCAGGCCCGAGGTGGCGATGCCTGGAGCCAGGCGCACCAAGCAGTGCAGGCAATCGCTTCAGGTGAAACTCAGTTTCCTCTTTATTTGCTTTGCTGCAGTGAATAAGAACCCCAGCTGTTACTGTTACTGCAACTTGGCCATTGCCTGGCACGTGGGGCCGCGTGGCCGTTAAGAAAAGTCTGCGCACAGAATACACTCATTTGAGTGTAAGGAGACCACGCGTTGCATCAGGGAGCTCCAGCGCACCAGGAAGAGCGACACTGTTTATCCCTCCCCCAGCTCCAGAGTGGGTTTTCCTAATGAGCAGGTAGGGGGTGAATATCTCACCGCGCAGCTTCCTTACAGGAGGCTTTGAATGCTGCCTGGAGTATATTTGAATCCCCAGGCCCGCTGATCCCCCTGTAATGAAACAGTTCCTTCTAGTCCAGTTTCTGCACACGGAGCACCCTACTCCCCATCGTGTCCCTGACGCCGAGACCGTGGAAGGAGGCTCTGCCAGCCGGGCCTCCACTCACCATGTGCTGGGCCAGTCGTGGCTGCATCTGGCTTGAGAGTTCACCCAGGACACCTGCGTCTTTCCAAGGCCTGTGTTTTCTGCCGCTGTATCCCCAAACCAAAGGCAAACCAAAGTCAAGGTCATTGTCTTGTCTAGGGCTCCATCTCCTAACTGTTTCCTCCTTCCTAACATGACTCTGCATTCCTGGGGGGCAGAGGGCGGTGGTGACTGCTACAGTCTCGGCGGATCCACGCCATCCCCACTACAGACAACATGGCGGTTTCCCTGGTGGCCAGACTTGCTGTTTAGTCTCAGAAAATGTAGCTGCAGGCCAGCCATCCTCAAGTCAGGCATGTTCTGCCATCACCCAGCCATGCCCCAACACCCAGCATCGAGGGCCAGTACTGGCAGGTGCCCAGAGACTTTCCAATTAGGAGGTCCCCAGACTGTGTCACAGTTGTCTGTGGGTAGACAACACGTCAGCCAATTCTTTTGATTTGGCTCCCAGAAGAAGGGCGAGTCTCCGTCCCCTACCCCTGAACGGGGCCCAGCTGTGGGCACTTGCCTCTAACAAGGGGACTGCGAGGCAGAGACACCAGCTATTCTTTGCGAATCAGGGAAGAAAAGGGAGGCCGCCTCCCACTGGCTGGCTCGCTCTCTCGGGGACTCAGCTTAAAACCCTGAGCCACCAGGTGAGCAGGGTGGCTATCCCGAAGACACCATGCTGGGAAGATCCCACCACAGAACACGCACAAAGAAACGCCCCAAGATGAGGAGCTCAGGGGTCCTGGCCCCGCCCCCCCGTCTCCCCCTCCCTCCAAACTCACCTACTCCCTTCCCAGCCCCAGCCCCGCTCCAGCCTCACCCCCAGCCCACCCATCCCTGCCCCCTGCACACCCGGCTTCCTCCCCACACCAGTCACCCACACCCGGCTCCCTCCCCCACACTCACGCACACCTGGCCACCTCCCCCCACCACTCACCCCCACCTCGCTCCCTCTCCCCCCACAACTTAATGCGCACACCCAGCTCAGCCACTCCCCTCGGGGTTGCTGTCTCCTCTCCCCTCTTTCTGTTGTGGAAGCCTCTACTTAGGAAGCCCACGGGGTTACCTGGTGCCCACCTTGGACATCTCTGTTCTCCACGTGTGTCAGGCTCAGCTCTCCCCACGGCTGTGCATCTGGAAGGTGACTGCGTCCCATCCCTGGGCACCCCGGTCACCCGCGTCTCCCCTGTCCCCCACGGGCAGGGCGAGTGCCTCCGGGTTCCTCACTGCTGGCTGACACCCTGGAGTGCTCACGGAGCAGGATGGGCTCGCAGAGCAGAACAAAGCAGCAGAACTCCAATGTCCGCTGCTGCTCAGCAGGACGACAACTCACATCTTCATTAACAGTGAGGAGCCAGCACCGACCAGGAAATCGTCTGGTTAGAACAGAAAAGGTAAACAGGCAAGATCTATGTTTTTGTTGCATGAGGCCTGGTAAGACTGTGAATGGGCAAAACGACCGATTTTCTTATTTCTCAAATAGAGAAGATAGTAATGCTGTTGTAAGGGTCAAATGCGATGATTTGTGTAAAATGCTTTGCACAGTGCCTGGCATACAGGGGCCTCATAAATGTGGGCTGTTTCTTGTTTTGTTTGTCTGTCTGTTTTTTGAGACAGGGTCTCACTCTGTCGCCCAGGCTGGAGTGCGGTGGTGCAATCATGGCCTCACTGCAGCCTTGACCTCCAGGGCTCAGGTGATCCTCCCACCTCAGCCTCCTGAGTAGCTGGGACCACAAATGCACACCACCATGCCCAGCTAACTTTTTTAAAAACTTTTTTGTAGAGAGGGAGTTTCGCTATGTTGCACAGGCTCGTCTTGAACTCCTGGGCTCAGCAATCCGCCTGCCTTACCTCCCAAAGTGCTGGGATTACAGGCGTGAGCCACCGCGCCCGGCATATGTGGGCTATTCCTATTCACATTAGGCGTCATCTCAAGTGTAACATGTCCCGTGCTGCACTCCTGATATCCCCCTGCTCCTCCCATCTCCCCAACCCAGTGAATGGCACCTTACCACTTTGACTTGTTCAGCCAAACAACCCCAAAACCCAGAAAGCCTTCTCCCCACAGTCTACATCCAGCCCAATGGCAAAGTTTTTGCTTCTGTCTTCAACATATACCCAGTTTTGACCATGTTCCCCCCTTCACCTCTATTACCCTGACCCAGCTGTCATCCACTCCCTTGGTTTGCAGCCAAGACTTTGCACCCCTCACACATCCACCCACTCCCACCACCCTAGTCCTCTCGACCAGCAGCCAGACGAAGTGTGTCAGCACAGAAGTCACATCAGTGTTTTGCTCAGAATCCACCAACAGCTTCCCCATGTTTCTCAGGTAAAAGCCCAGTCCTCTCCTGATCTCACGACCTAGTGGTCTGTTCCCTGCGTCAGAGTCTCTGTGCTCCTCTGTTCCCTATTTCCTTCCCGTGGTGGCCTGGCCTCACTGGCCTGCAGGCTCTTTCTGGAGCTTGCCAGGCCCACACCTGCCTCAGAACAGTGCACTTGCTATTCCTACTGCCTGAATCTTCTCCAAATATCTAGATGGCTTCCAGCCTCTTCTCAAAGCTCAGCTTCTCAGGGAGGTCTTCCCTGACCACCCAAATTAAAGTCACCACCCATCCCCAGCATTCTCCACGCTTCCTCTGTCTGGGGTGGTTCCCTCAGCCCTCACCACGGTCTAACTGACTTGGGGCTCCCTTTGCCTTGTTTCCCCCACCGGAAGGGAAGATACGCAAGGGTGTGGCGTGCACTGCTGTATCCCCAGTGCCTAGAATCAGTGCCAAACACAGAGCAAATGCGGAGTGAATGTTGAGGAAGGGAGGCAGGGAGGGAGGTAGGGAAGGAGGGAAGGAAGGGAGGGAGGGAGGGAGGGAGGGAGGGAGGGAGATGGCACACTACTTTGCCTCAAATGATTGGAAAAAAATCCAAGCTGATCATGTACCCTCGCTTGGTTTCCAAGCTGAAACAGACAGACCTTTGGTGCCTCCCCAGTGGGGAAGGGAAGTACGCTGGCTCCCGGGTGGCCCTGCCTTCATCTTTCATTTAGTGGGGTGTGCAGTGTGGTCACCATTAGTACATGGCTCATACTTCCTCTGATCTTAGACATCATCCTCATGGTCAAGTGAGAACAGAGTTAACCTCTTTGGATAAAGATATTTGCCCAAGGTGAGCGAGGCTGGAGGTCAAGTCTTCCTTCTGGGATGCCAGTTCACTGGGAGTCTCCTTGGCACGTCACGGGCAGGTCTCCTACCTAACTCACCACCACCACCACTTGCTCACAGCAGGGCAAATGTGTGGCCCACATGTACCAACAGCCTGCAGATTAGAATCGCATGAAGCTGGAGGTTCCAGGATAAGGTTTTAGTCCAGAGTCTGATATCAACCAGAGCCTCAAGCTCTGCAACCTGAAGGAGGCCACTGTGACCCCAAAGAGTGAGCTACCGTCACCTTCTCAGGAGGGTGCTGTCACAGATGTTTTGGCTGCTCCCCCCATGCATGTTTAGGGCAAGAGCCTTAAGCGGTTCAACAGCTCTTTCCTCCTTGCTTTCTATTTTCACCCATGGACTCATTCAGCACATGCTACTGAAATCCCATCTAGATTCCAAAGATAAATGTGCACAGAAGTTATCCCCTAGGGCCCTCCTTTCTTCCCTGAACCCCTTCTTTCTTTCTCTTGGAGCTCGCTACCCTCTTCCGTAGGTGGCTCCCTGGGTTGAAGCTTGGGGCCTCCAAGGCAATAAAGGTGTCCCTTCCTGGGCAGACAGGCAGCACAGATGTTCTCCTGGGGGAAGTCAGGGCCCTCCGAAGGCCCACCTGAGGTCTGCTGGCTGCCCCGAATATTCTGTCACCCCACAGGCATGAGAAATGAGGGGGGCAGCCTGGCTCCACGTGGCCCTTACAAAGTCCCGGGGAGATGCAGTGGGGAGAGCAAGGGAGCAGTGAGTCAAGACTGGCAGGAGCTCTGGGTTCGGCAGGGAGGGGCTTGTCGGAGCTGGCACTGCCACGTGGCACCAAGCCCAGGCATAGCAGGTGGCACCGACACAGCCTTAATTGATAGCTTAATTAAGGAATTAGGTAGGTTATAACTTCCAACCTACAGCTTGCTTAAGCTAAATTTCATTATCTCCCTTTGCTGTGGAACCGCACATCATGCAGTAAAGGAGGAGTGGGTGTCATCTGCCCAAGAGTGGTCACTAACATGCTTTGGCCTATCTGCATGCAAGATGGGAAGAAAAGTGAGGTGTTAGGGAGCAAATGTCAACAGGTGCTTTCTCCCCTCGCTGGAAGCTGCTCCAGGAAACCCCCAAAGGCAGCCATTTACCCTTTTCCCCCCAGAACTTGCTAAATAGCCTTCTGAGGATGAGAAGCATCATCTCCAACAGCCAGACCAGAGCCTCCAAAGGTTCTAAGCCTGTGAAATAAACGAAGTCTGCTGGGACACGGAGGAAGACAGACAGCATCTCTTGCATCTCTGCGAGCTCTGCAAAGGACACCACTCTGTGCTCTGGAACTGCAGCGTGCAGCTGCCTCTTCAGCTGGGGCCTCTGCCCCGCTCACTACAGCCCGAGGTGGGGCTGGGGAACTTGAACTTCTTCCTGACTGTTCCAGGAAGCCTGGCATTGATCCTTCTCGCTCACACTGTGGTCCCTAGAGTAGCAGCATCAACTGCACCGGGAGCTTATAAGAAATACAGAGTCTAGAAGCAAATCACACACCTATGGGATCAGACTTTGGAGCAAGGTCCCCAGGTGCTTTGTGTGCACAGTGAAGTTTCAGAATCAGTGACTTGGGTAATAGATAGTATAGTTTCACTTCCAGTTCAAATGAACCCTTTCCTAAAATATTCTGTGTAACCTGAAACTGGGTAAGAAGAGTTTTATGAAAAACCTCGGCCACTGGATAGAGATCCATACACGAGATCTGACACCCTTATTTAAATGTAGATAGGATGCTGGGGTTCGCAAGATAAGTGGTACAAGGCGGTGAGAGTCTCAGATTTGGGAGGGGAGTACACAGCAACAGAGAAGAGAGACAGGACACAGAAGCACTCGTAGTGAACCATGCCTTGTGCCTCTGCCCGTAGGCAGGTGGGTGGTGTACTTTGTGCACACTGGCAAGGTCCTCTTCCCACTGCAGGGCAGGTACGGTGGGGTTTGGAACACGGATCAAGCCTTTGAAAATACACCCAGGAAAACCTGCAACCCACAAGGCTAGGAGTCCAGCCGTTCGTTCCACTTCGCTGATCTCTTAAGCCAGTAAAGCTCCTTATTTGCACAGAAACTTGCAATTTCACTACCCCCCAAACCCTCCACCTTCAAGTCATTTCCAAGGAGGCCCTGGGGCCCCAGGCAGCAGACACAGAAAAAGCCTGCTGCAAAGAAGGTTCACAAGTGACATCACGACAGCCTTGGAAGCCAGGAGGAACGAGTGGTGCATATTTAATTTGATGTGGGGGGCAGCCACTGAAGGTTTCTAAGCAGGAAAATGACATAACCCAAATCGGGGTTTAAGGGTAAGATTTGAGATAGACTGAGTAGAAATTTATTGAAATCATCTAAGCAAGTGTTAACTGAAGGCTTCCACTAGGGTCTTGGTTTTTGGTTTTTTGTTTTTGTTTTTGTTTTTTTGAGATGGAGTCTTGCTCTGTTTCCCAGGCTGGAATGCAGTGGCGTGATCTCAGCTCACTGCAACCTTCCCGGGTTCAAGTGATTCTCCTGCCTCAGCCTCCTGAGTAGCTGGGATTACAGGCACCCACCACCACCCCTGGCTACTTTTTGTATTTTTAGTAGAGACAGGGTTTCGCCATGTTGACCAGACTGGTCTTGAACTCCTGACCTCAGGTAATGCACCTGCCTCGGCCTCCCAAAGTGCTGGGATTACAGGCGTGAGCCACTGCGCCCAGCCTAGGGTCTTGTTTAGGAGGATAGTGAACAAAATTTAACTTTATTCTGCTGGACACTCACTGGCACATGGTAGATGGTCCATAACGTTACGGTGAATGAACAAATGTGTGACATGGGGACGTCATCACCTATATGCTGTACACAGCAATGCATTGAGACCTAAGTTTTGTTGGGTTATTTTTACCCATATTAACTGGGCCAAAATATCATTTTTTGAATATTCCTGACTGGGCTTGTCGGTTGGTTTTGCATTTATATAAATAACCACTATTACTTTTGCACCAATCTAATACCTCGCCTCTGTCCTCTCGCTTAAGTTGTGGGCTGTCTGGCTGCAGGCAGGGGGCATGCATAGTGTCGGCTGTTTTCTTCATTTGTGGCCTTTGGTCGGCTTTGGGATGGAGCAGGAGTTGGGAAAGGTGAGGTCTGGTCCCGCCGAGTCGTGAGACCACAGACAGATCAGTAGATGATGCTGGACTTGTCTTCATCGAGCATTCGAGGGCCTCTGAACTTGTGTGTGTTTCGATACCAGATGATGTGATTAGAGTGTGTGGTTTGTAGAAAATTAAATTCTTTAGCCAAACCGGCTGCTAAAGCTTCTGCCCAGAATCAATATACTATTAGAAGTCCTGGAAACTAATAAACATACCATAACTATTAATTTATGAATAGATTTTTGGAAATAACCTCAGAGAAGTAATCCAGGCTTGAAGCAAGTTTTGCAGCACCAGATGGAGTGTGTGAGTTTAATCAGGCTCCTGAAAAGGGAACTGTACAATATATTCTTAAAAATTCACTATCATCTCTGAGTTCAGCCTTAGAGAAGCCAGAGGAAGTACAGGAAGAATCGAGAACTTAGAAGAAGCTGAGATAAGAAATGACTAACACAGGGAAGCCCAGAAGTTCTTTTATGATAAAGTGTGGTGGCAGCAGCGGGGACAATGGACCCGTCTAGAATCCAGTCACCTGGCCAGCGTCGCCTGAGCATGAAGAGGCCAAAAAGAACCTGGCCTCACCTGACCAGTGTCCCACACACAGGGTGGTAGAGTGAAAGGCCGGCTGTCAGTGGACCCTCAGGATGTCCCCATCACACCCGGCGCAAGAGGATTTTTTTAAGGGTAAATATGTTCAATGTAAAGGACTGCTTTTGAGTTTATGGTCTTCTTTCTTCTGTTATGTATTTTTAAATTGTGTTATATATTAAAATTTTGTTTTTTATTATTTTTTGAGATGGAGTCTTGCTGGAGTGCAGTGGTGCGATCTCAGCTCACTGCAACCTCCGCCTCCCAGGTTCAAGCAATTCTCCTGCCTCAGCCTCCTGAGTAGCTGGGACTACAGGCACACGCCACCAGACCCAGCTAATTTTTTGGTATTTTTAGAAGAGAAGGGGTTTCACAGTAAATACTCTTGACAAAGTAAGAGTGGACAACTTTGTGACAGCACCCCACGTCTCAGAGAGCATTTTAGCAACTCATGAAATCCAAAAGAACAGGCTATCCTGGACTAGTAGATCACCCAGTGATTTTTAAAAGATGGGTCAGAGTTTCAAACCTCCTCCACCTCCTTTCTGGTATCAATAAACACCTTCTCATTGTTTCTGATCAGGGTTGGCCAGGGATAAAAAGATTGGCTTCCCATGCTTTAAAAAAGAAACCTTTAAGTCCAGCATCGATTTATTCAGCAGGAAGGGAACAGGAGGCATCTGATCTGAGGCTCCCTCCATGATTTGAGGTCTTCCCATCTCTGCGATATCTGCCTTTCAAAAACTAGGATTATTGCTTGTTGAGCTTTCACGCTCCCAGCATCACTTTGACCTTCAGCTTCAATGGCGGACACAATGAAGTGCCTTCATCTCCCTGCCGCCCTGGCCGTGGGCACTCCGTGTGCTTCTGGTGGTGTCCCCTGGTCTCCAGGACTCCCGGGCCTCTGACCACCAGCTGGTTTCAGGGCACCCCCGGTCACCCCTCTGAGTTCTCTCACCACTTCTTCCTCCCCAGATGGAAAGACCAAGACTGTCGAGGAGGGAACAGCACTGCGAGACCCTCCCTGAGGACCAGGCTGGCTGAGTTCCACCTGCAGCTCTGTCAGTGCTGGTTATGGCTGTCACCTGAGCGGTGCCCACGTGGGGACTGTGCATCCTGTCCCACTCCCGTCTGTTCCCACCTACCTGGGCCCTGCCCCCTTTCTCCCCAACGCAGCTCCCTGCCGTACTTCACCGTGGCTGATTCTCACATCCCAGGTGCCTGACCATCAGTCCTGAGATCTTCATGTCCTAAGAAGCCTCCCAGTCTTCACACAGACAAAGCTCACGCCCCTCCTGATGGCCCAGGAGAACCTCAAGCTCATGTCAACGACTCCCCTTTCCAGTCCAGTCAGGACCTTTGGCACCGTAATGCTCCAAGCCTGGTCAGAGGCTGTCAGGATGGATAGGCAGGGGAGGTAGATGTGAATGCTGTTCTGTAGCTCTTCTTCACTTGGCAATAAATGAGAGGTTTCTTTCCATGCCAGTACATAGAAAGTGACCTACATGTTTTTAGAGGGTGAACGGTTTTCTTCTATGTGCATGTACCATAATTTAACCTGTCCTCTACTGACAGACATTCAGCTTATTTCCAGTTTTTCTCTATTTTAAAAAAAGTGCAACATGAGAATCATTTGAACCCAGGAGGCGGAGGTTGCAGTGAGCTGAGATCACACCACTGCACTCCAGCCTGGACAACAGGGTGAGACTCTGTCTCAAAAAAAAAAAAAAGGTGCAACAAACATCCTTTTACATATATCTTTTCTCACTTGTATTTCTGCCCATAGAAATAGGATTGCTGGACCAAACAATATTCACATAAATTCTGAGGCTACAAAGTGGTGCATTTTGGGAATGCAGTCTTCTTCTCCCTAGCGGGGCGTGAACAGCATTATCTTTGCCCATGATTGTTTCCATTTCAGTTTATCTAATGATGATGTAGAACATGCTTAATAACTTTGCACTTCTACATTTTCCTTTACCGTTCTTGGCCCATATTTCATCTGGGGGCACTTTATAAGTCTAAAGGGAAGAAAGGCCTTTTAAATATGAATGGCATTAGCCCTTCCCCTATGTGAACATTTAAATTCATCATTTAGCCTTCCCTGAGCATCTGTTCCAGGCACCGGAAGACGCGTCCATCATCTCGGTGAAGCCTCAGAGCAGCCTGCAGGGAAGGCCTCGTTTTCCCTACCTCATTCATGAGCCAGACGTCCCATGCAGTTTAGTAGAGAAGCTGAGACTCATCTCCAAATTTGTTTTCAAGCCTGTGTTCTTTCCACTGTCCTACTCAAAACCTCTAAGTAAAAATCTCCTAATATCATCTTAAGGTATTTCCTGGTAGTAACAGAAGATATGGGAGTTAGAAGAATAAAGAAAGATGACTGGGCGTGGTGGCTAATGCCTATAATCCCAGCACTTTGGGAGGCTGGGGCGGGAGGAGTGCTTGAGCCCAGGAGTTCAAGACCAGCCTGGGCAACATACCAAGACCCTACCACTACAATAAAAACTTTTTAAATTAGCTGGGTTTGGTGGCTCATGCCTGTAGTTCCAGCTACTCAAGAGGCTGGGGCAGGAGGCTGGGCTTTAGTCCAGGAGTTTGAGGCTGCAGTGAGCTATGATTGTGCCACTGCACTCCAGCCTGGGTAGCAGAGCAAGACCTTCTCTCTAAACCAAAATACAAGTGATTCGATGTAGTTGGTCTTGGGTGGGCCTGAACATCAGTATTTTTAGAAGAACTTCAGGGGATTCTTCTTTGCAGCAGGGTTGAGGTCCGCTGCCTTCCATCATCTCCACTGTTCCTTCCAGCTCTGTTGTGCAGGCTGGAGTGCAATGGCGCGATCTTGGCTCGCTGCAACCTCCACTTCCTGGGTTCAAGTGATCCTCCTGCCTCAGCCTCCTGAGTAGGCTGGATTACAAGTGTGCGCCATCATGCCTGGTTAGTTTTTTGTAGTTTTAGTAGAGACGGGTTTTTGCCATGTTGGTCAGGCTGGTTTCAAACTCCTGGCCTGAGGTGGTCCACCAGCCTCAGCCTCCCAAAGTTCTGGGATTACAGGCATGAGCCGCTGTGCTTGGCCCCACATATGCTATTTCTAAATCACATCTCCTCTTTGTTTACTACATGTGGAGCAGACTTTAAATCACTGCTCGACGAAGTCAATGATGTTCACATACGTAGAAGTTTCTCAATGCTGCCTGCTTTATATTCAGATTATGTTGATTTTCCTCCAAATGACAAATCTGAATTACAGATAATTTAGTAATTGGTGTTTAATACTTACAAATACGTAAAGCAACAAACTGGAATAAAACCAAGGGATGCTTTGTGGAAGTACTTGAGAATGTTGAAGTCCAACTGATTTCTAATTAGCATTACTTTCCCATGTAAATGCACGCCCCTCCAATCCCTAACTTAGCACATCCTTCGCTCCAGCTACGACTCAATCGCTGCACATCCCATCTCATCCAAACCTTTGAGCTGCATCACTTCCCACTTGTGCCTGTGGCCACTGCAGTCTGATTCTGACTCTAGGAATCACAGCAGGTGACAGCAGAGAGCTCCTCATTGTCAAGTCCAAGTGGACTTTCCAGGCCTCCCTCACTGGGCCCTCCTGCTGCATTTCCAGTGCAGATGCTGCCTCCTTCCTGGAGCCCCTGCTCCTCCAGCCATGGCACAGTCTCCTCAGATTGCCCTGCCTGTGCCTCCTCCCTCCTGGGTCACATGTGACCTTACTGTGTCTTTACCTCTGGACTCCCACTAGACTCAGCTCCACATCGCTCCTGGTCACTGAAACCTAGCACTGTGGTGGTGGGTGACTATCCCTAACATTCCAAATCATTCCTGAGTGACAACACTGTGTGGATATTTCAGAGATTAACTCAATCTTCATGACTCTATGAAATAAAAACTACAATCTTCATTTCATAGATGAGGAAATGGATCAGAATATAAGCCCCATGAGGACAGGGACTTTGTTGTCCTGTTACATGATGATCTCAACAGGACCTGGAACGGTGGCTGGCCATGAATGCAAAATTGAAACCTCAGCCAGTCTGACTCCCATCCCAGGGCACTCAAACATCAGCTGCGACTGCCCCTGCGAGTCCTTCGGAGGCTCCTTTCCCTCTGGTACCTCTTAAATGCCCACACCTTACAGCAGAGCAAAGTAAGGCCCAGAAGAGGTGTGTGGCCCAAGGTCACATTGCTAACATGTGGCACACTCAGACTACAATGCAGACTTGACAACCTCCAGTCCACTCTACCAGACTGACAAATGCACAGGGATGTTGATGTCTTTTCAAAGATAACTCCGCTAAATGGTAGTACCTGTAGTCTGTGATGCAGACGTGGCTGATAACTTAACAAATGTCTTCGTGTCTGCGGCTCAGCTGTGCTGTTGTCCCAGGTGCCCCACCTTGGCTGGCATATCTCCCAGGCCAGCACTCTTGTGACTCTGCCCCCTACATGCTGGGGAGTCTCTATCTCTCTCTGGGACAGCCAACCACCTGTCAGACAACATCATCTGTCAATCTCCTAATCTTCAAACTCTACATGTCAAAACAGAAGTCGTTTTCCCACTAAACCTAAACCAGCACCTTCTGAATTCCTTTTATGAGATGATGGCCCCACTCTTCACCCTACTGCCCAACGCAGGAACTGCAGAAATCCATCTTGACCCTTCTTCTCCCCATACAGGGGAGCGTGATGTTTCAGAGCAAAGGCTCTGAAGAAAACAGCTCCATTCACGAGAGAAAGCAGTACTAATTTTAACCATAGAAGTACAAGACATATTCTGATATTATACAACATTGCTGAGAGAAATTAAAGATCAAAATAAATGGAGAGGCATTCCATGTTTATAAATCGGAAGACCCAATACTGTTAAGATGGCAGTTCTTCCTTGACTCATCTATAGATTCAAAACATTCCCTATGGAAACCCCAGCAGGCCTTTTTGCAAAAACTGACAACCAGACCTTGTAAGTTATACAGAAATGCAGAGGACCCAGATTAGCCAAAATAATGTCAAAAAGAATGGAGAATGTATACGTCCCAATTTCAAAATTTAAATAACTCTTACATATATGTTCAGTTGATTTTTGACAGGGACACAGTGGGGAAAAGCAGTCCTTTTAACACATGGTGCTAAGACCACTGAATATCCATAGGAATTTAGATCTTTACCTCATACCATATATAAAAATTAATTTAAAACAGCTCACAGGCCCAAATTTAAGAGCTAAAACTATAAAACTTCCAGAACAAAACATAGGAGAAAATCTTTGTGACCTTTAGTTAAGCAGAGAGAGATACAGTACTAAAAGCATAACTCGTATAAGGAAACTAATACATTAGGCTTCATTAAAATTAAAAACAAGTGCATTTCAAAAGACACCATTAGGAAAAGATAAGCCACAGACTGGGAGAAAATATTTGCAAATCATGTCTTAAAAGGACTTGTATCCAGAATATATTAAGAACTCTTACTATTTAATAAGAAAAAAAACCCAACTGAAAAGTGAGCAAAAGATTTAAATAGACATTTCACCAAAGGTATATAAACGGCCCATAAGCACATGAAAAATGCTCATCATTAGCTATCAAGGAAATGTAAATCAAAGCCACAATGAGTTACCACTTCACATCCACAAGGATGGCTATAATTTTAAAAGACACATAATCACAAGTGTTGGTGAGGACGTGGAGATATCAGAACCCTCCTACATTGCTGGTGCAAATGTAAAATGGTGCAGCTTCTTTGGAAAACAGTCTGGCAATTTCCTAAAAAGTTAAACATATGTCTGCACAAACACTTGTACACAAATGGTCACAGCAGCATGAAAACAATCTACATGTCTATCAACTGGTGAATGAACAAACAAAATCTGACACAGCCATACAATGGAACAGCATTCAGCCCAGCAATAAAAAGGAAAGCAATTACTGATAGATGCCACTACAGGGAGGAACTTCAGAAACATTACTGAGTGAAAGAAGCCAGACACAAAAGACCATGTCTGATTCCATTTATAGGAAATGTTCAGAAATGGCAAACCTGAAGGACAGAAAGCCGATCAGTTGCTGTGTGGAAATGGAAATGGGGCTTAATTGCAAACTGGAATAAGATTTTTTTTTTTTTTGAGTTGTTCTAACATTGGTTGTGATAGTTGCACAACTCTATAAACTTACTGAACAACCATCTAAGTATAAACCTAAAATGGGTAAATTTTGTGGCAGGTAAATTGTATCTCCTTAAAACTGTTAGGGGAGAGAGGGAGGCACAGGCTCTTCATTCAGAGTACCAGGGTCCCAGTCCTCGCCCTTTTACTTATCCACTCTGTCGCTTGGGGCAAGTTAAACTTTGTGCCTTAGTTTTCTCGTCTGTAAACTGGCAATTATAGTAGTACATACTTCGTTATTGTGAGGATTAAATCGGTTAATACCAGTAAAACGTCTAGCAGAGTGCCAAACACACAGCAAGCATTCAGTGTTAGCTGTTGTCTCATTATGACCATTCGGATTACACGCATCCAGTTGTCTTGCCAGTTTCCCTTGGTAATTAGTTCTCAATCACCTTTTCTTCATACCTTCTTCCCTGGCCTTAAGCTCTGTGCCACCTTTTAGATGAAAGGCTTGTCCTGTCTCCCTCACTGCCCCCAGGCCTGTTCCCTCACATTTCACTTCCACAGCATGGAGGGACCACACCAGGTCAAAACCAACTACAGGATCAAGTTCAACTGCACACAACTCCCTCCACCATCCTGTCTCTGTGGAGCCCGTCACCCCTGTCCACCCCCATGCCTACCCCACATACACATCACAGTGGCAAATTTCCTCACACATCCCATGCAGCTGCTCTTGCCATCGGTCCCCTCTGCAGAATGCCCTGCTCTCTCCCCCTCTTGTCTTTCTATATGCTTGTCCTGTCAGGCTCAGCTGAGACAAATCCTTCATAAGACTTCCCTGAACCTCTTGGGCTGGGATCACTAGTTGGCCTTTATATTTGTCCATAATATGCCTGTAATAGCCTGGGCATATCTCCAACACTGATTGACAGATTACAAAACACACTGTCAGATTAGAACACACATCTCACATCTGGAAGCATGAATCCAGCACAATGCAGGTGCTCGACAGAATGTTAGCTGGCCAAATGAAGGACCAGACAGGCAGCGCTTTCTCAGCTCCTCATATACTGAAAATGCTCACAGACTTCCAAACAGCTTAGGACTTTGTCTAGGAACATGGAAATCTTAGGGAGACTCTCCCTCTGTTGAGGAGCACTGCAAGCAGCACCTGAGTGGAAGGACAGGGCCTGCCGTCTTCCGTTTGATGCCGTAACTGTCAGCAGTTCAGGAGCATTTGCAGAGATGGCTGGTAATGTTAATTTTGCTGGTGGAATATTTCCTAACTTGCCCAACATCCGAGTTTCTAAACTCTGAAACTCTTGATTAAGAATCTTTGAGATATCTCATAGCGGGAATATAAGACAATCAACTTCAGAGGGATGTAACAGCTTAATGACTGAACTTTAAATTATGGGGGAAAATACAATAATCTGATGTCTGGGTTCCATCCAAGATATTCTGATTTAAGTGGTCTGGGATATAACCTATGCAGAAAATTTTTTTAAAGTTCACTCAGTAATTCTAAAGAATTATAGTGACCCAGCAAGGGTCAAGATCTGCTCTTATATTAGTTCCTCTGTCATTTTCTCATGTATAAATGGTAGCAGTTATGCTTAGATTTATGGATAACTGAAAGTCCTTCTGAAAATAAAATGCATAAATGTTAATCAGATTCCTTTTTCCTATTCTCACGACTTTGGGTCATCTTAAAAGTTTGGGCTGGGCACAGTGGCTCACACCTGTAATCCCAGCACTTTGGGAGGCCGAGGCAGGTGGATCACTTGAGGTCAGGAGTTTGAGACCAGCCTGGCCAACATGGTGAAACCCTGTCTCTACTAAAAATACAAAAAAAAAAAAAAAAAAAAAAAAAGCCAGGTGTGGTGGTGGGCACCTTTAATCCCAGCTACCTGGGAGGCTGAGACAGGAGAATCGCTTGAACTTGGGAGGCAGAGGCTGCAGTGAGCTGAGATCTCCCCACTGTACTCCAGTCTGGGTGAGAGAGTGAAACCCCATCTCAAAAAAAAAAAAAAAAAAAAAAAGTTTCACTTCTTAAAATCCACTTGGCCAAAAAGCATTAATACCCACATTAGATACAGACATTTAAAATCCATTAAAGAACAATTTAAAAGACAAAAAATAAAAGAAATCCTAAAACCATAATCTTAAAACTCACAATCAAGTGCACACTAAGATAAAGGACTGATTCCAAAACATAACCAAGAATAATCTCCAATCCAGAAGATGAAGCTGCAGGTCCTCCGTGAAGAGATCCTACTCGTAGACATGGCATGCTTTTCTCGCACCATGACAGTGAAGAGAAAGGGGTTTCAGCACCATGCTGACCAGGTGTCTGTTCTTGTGCTTGCATCCTAAGGGAACCCGAGGGAGAGACCTGAAGTGACTGCAACTATGAAAGTCTACTTGAGAGTCCCACTGAGTATGGCGAAATTTGTAAATTTCGGCATCTTCTTCCGAAATGGAATCTTCTTAAAATGGAAAAAGAAAGTTGAAACAATCGCATCCTATAAACATGTATTTTTCTGCTCCAGAGCTGTCCTCTTGGTTGAATCTCTTTTCACTTTTTTGAGACGGAGTCTTGCTCTGTTGCCAGGCTGGAGTGCAGTGGCGTGATGTCGGCTCACCGCAACCTCTGACTCCCTGGTTCAAGCGATTCTCCTGCCTCAGCCTCCCGAGTAGCTGGGATTACAGGCACATGCCACTACGCCTAGCTAATTTTTGTATTTTTAGTAGAGATGGGGTTTCACCATGTTGGCCAGGATGGTCTCGATTTCCTGACCTCGTGATCCGCCCACCTCGGCCTCCCAAAGTGGTGGGATTACAGGCGTGAACCACTGCAAATACTAAATTTATAAATTACTACTTCACCTGGCCTCTTTTCATTCTTTCAATGAAACAGTCTATTATTGATACTGATACCTGAATTTATATACATTTCCCAGCTTTAAAAAGATGTTCATTTTTTTTAAAATCCTATTAATAAACAAACATATGAAAACGTCAAAGTTTTAAAACTTTTGAGATCCTAGGTCTAGTTTCTTTAACTTCTCAGACTAAATATTCTATAAAATAGAAACTACGCCAAGCGCCTACTAAGGCAAAATTGCCACAAATAAAAGACTTAATGGCAAAATACACCATGTACATGCAGTTACAGGGCAAAATCAGTCTCTACACTATGAAAATCTGTACTAAATGGGTTTTTCATAAATATACTTTACCAATCTTTTTATATCATTATTTCATTATCTCTTATTAAAAAATAAATTTGAAAAAGTAAAACTGTATGGTGGCAAGATAATTTCAAATTACATTTTCCTACTTAGAAAACAGCTACATTTTGTAATGAGGAAGACTAGAAATGCTACCTTATTACTATTGACAATGTCATACTAAATAAAATAAGGAAAGACTATGTAGTTTTAAATATAGTCTTACTGGAAATTAGTAAAGCATTAAACATAGAACTGTGACATATACAAAGTAACACAGGTGAATACTAGGCAACAGCTACTCCATTAGAAGAGAATTAGCCTTCAAAGCATCAGGGGGTGCACCATTTTTGCCGTATGAAAAAAATGCACATAAAAGACACAAAATATACTTATTACTTTTAGCATGTTAAAAAACAATCACATCAAAAAAGTATACAGATAAAAAATGTCATAAATGACATAAGAAAATAGTGCTTGTGTGTATATATATATTTTTTGCATATATATATATATATATATATATATATATAAAAATCTACAGTATTTACCACTGTTGATATATATATTTTGGAGCAGCTCAGATACTGCTATTATAAACTAAATTGTACAGCTTGGTTTATTACAAGTCACAGAATTATGGTTATATAATGGGAATTAATATCCTCAGCTACATATTTATATACATTTATTTCTCAGCTTCCACCTGACCTGCATCAACAGCCCAGTTATTTCACCAGAATTTTGTTTGCGTTTCAATGTAGTGTTTAGCTTTAATACACTGCACTTGTTTTGCTATTTAATAACATCATTACCAAGTTGATCAAAATTACATTAGACTCATTATATACATAAAATATATTGTCACATTCACTAGCTAAACAAACGTTACTTCCATTTTAAAAGACATACTTTTGTACCTTGAAAGTTTAAAGCCCCACCTTGCAACAGGAAGAAACATCAATGTCGGGTTTTCTACTATTCAAATATAAGCAATGTTGAAAACAAGCTCCCCAATTAAACACGAAGTCATACTCTCTTGGAGTGCCTAAATCTTTGTCAGTGTTTTGGTATCTGTAGTGTAACAGAATATTTTTTAAAGACATCACTAATTTTTTTTTAAGCCAAGAACTTGAATTTGTTTCAATGAAAAAAAGATGTTCAAAAGCATGAAATCACACTGTATTTTTTAAAAGATCAAAATCCTAGACTCCTATGAAAAACTAGGATCATTTTTATAATTTTAACATGGACAATGTAATGGCCTGATGAGGTGCAGCAATATCCGTCGACTACATTCCATAAAGAGGACAGAAATGGATTGTATAAATGGCCACCCTGGGACCTTCGTGGGGAGAAGCCATGTGAGTCGAGGCAGAAGAAAGAAGTAACCACACTGCTAATGCAGTTAGTGTGGCTGCCCCACATGAGTACTGTGAGCACTGAGGGATCAGTAAGCTGCAACTTCTCCTGCTCTGAGATTCGCAAGAGTCAGACCAGAACAAAGGGCACAAACGCACTAAGACCAATCTCTTAGTATGTGGATGTGATAAGCACTGCTGCACCTTTGGCCGTAAACTTATTTTAAGTGCCCCGATTTTTAAGCACCATTAAGTGGTTAGCCTTTCTCTCCAATGTCTTTAATTTTCAGATTGAAAGAAAATGGCAACAGCTGAAGGAGAATGATGAGCATTCTGTGAGACTGCAATTAATAAAGTCAGGACAAACTCTTCAGTCAGTTTAGGACCCAGGTTACAAATATATGAGAGGGAAAAAGAAAAACTGGACTAAAAGACAAGGAAAACAAGAATTACATATTATTCCATGGATCTGGATTAAAAGTAGTTTTTTAAAAAACGTTTCTTTAGCTCTGTGTTCAAATGTGGATGAACAGATGCCTATATCTATTAAAAGACACATACACTACATATAGCCTTAAAAATATCTATTCTACAGTTTTTTCAGTACTTTGTAACATTAGTCAAAATAGAATGAGCCAACAGAGTAAAAATGTTCAGGTTTTGGAGAAAAACATAACCGGAACTGAGTAATAAATTACCACTGTGCGTGCATCCCTAAATGCTATTGCGATGTTTCCGGGTTAAATTCTAACAGGTCAGTGATGATGCAATTGAAACGCTCATCTTAAGCAGCATCTACGTGGGGCTGAAGACATTTCCCTGTATTCTTACTACTAACAGACAGGAGAGATGTGCGAGTTGTTTACAATAGTATAAATACTGCTTTGGCAATTATGAACATAGCAATGTAGGTTTCACGTGGTTTCTCTCTCGTCTTTAGCAAGTACACGTCAAATCTCACAGCAACACTGACTCTTGGATGGAAAGCCCGTCCCGATTCCTGTAGTGGTAGGCTGGAGGCGGGGGCCCTGAATATGGATATCCAGATGGACTGGCATCTTCTGCGGCCGGTGAAGCTTTATATCTCACGGGACTATCTACAGAAACTGCAGGGAGGCCATGGTCCTGAAAGGGTGCGAGTTGAAAGGCTGAGTATTTTGGTAAATTGCCACGGCTAGCATCTCGGGTCCATGATTGTCCCTGCGTCTCAGGTCTGTATGTATAACTAACTTCTGACCATGTTCTGTTATCTGGCAAGTAATCCACTGGTGGAATGATCAATTTTCCATTCTTTGGTGACCCTGAATTGCCCGAATATCCCCCAGCACCAGTGTCAACAGGGAGGACTTCTATTCGACTAGACGGCAGTACAAGGGGGCTTGGGCGGCTGTAAGATTTCTCCGGAGAAGCACTGACGGAAAGAGTAGAACCATGAGGTCTCCTGGAAGGATTCAGTTGAGTCCCAGGGCTAAACTGTGGAGAAGCAAAGCTGCTGTTGGCAGTAGGGAAGTGTTTGGGAGAGTTTCCGTGGTAAACGGGGGGATTGCTGTAGGAGGGGGGATGAGCTAGCCCTCGGGCTTCCCCATCTAGCTGGGACGGATATCGTGCATGACTTGGAGGCTGTACTTTAAAAGTAAACTTGTTGGATACTTTTGATGGACTAGAACTTGGCTCAGCGTGCTTTCTCGGGCTAGGAGGGTAAAGGGCATGCCGGGGGCTCTGGGAGTAAGCCCTTTCCAGCGCCTCCTCCACGGAAGCGCCGCTGTCCAGCTCCGGGCCTGGCACGTTGTCGTACTGCGATGCAGTGGAGCCCCGCTTCCCGTCCTCAGCATCCAGGGCCTTCATCTTTGGCCGCACGTTTGACACCCGCACCTCGGCAGGACCTGGGACGGTAACTGCGAGCGCGGGGTGCGCTGCTCGACCTTTGCCTTCCATGGTGTATTTGGCAGTTCTCTCTGTAGCTGAGACGTCTGACGGTTTATTCCATTTGGGCACAAACTCCTTCCTGATATTTGAAGTGGCGTTGCTATTTTGGTTGGCAGCTGCGTGATTATATTGCCTGGAACTGTCCTGTGGACCCGATGGGAGTTTTCTTTGAAAATCTGCCTCATCTTTAAGCTTTTTGCTCTCCTCCTCCACCGATTTCCGTCTTGGCGGCTGTGCTCTCTCGGGCGTCCCGGTCCTGCTCTGGGGGTGCGGGGAGTGCTCGTGCCTCCTGTGGGGCGCCCCGCTCTCCCTCCTGCCGCTGGCCAGCGGGCTCGGCCGGCCCACGCTCCTCTGTCCGTTGCTCAAGTGATGGACGCCCCAAGACTGAAGTTCAGGTGGAAGCTGCCCCAAGGGCTTCTTTGGATATTCATCCTCTTTACCTGAAAAGAAAGAGAAAGGCTAAGTAAGATAATACACGAGTAAACAGTAGCCAGTTGAAGCAATCCATTAGTAACAATGGCATGCTTTTCATCTGTGCACAGATACACGCTGACATACAACACACTGTCATACAACACACTGTTTATACCACTTACACACACTGTTTATACCACAGAAAGTTGGTAGCTGATGAGAGGTGTTTTTTAGAGACTGATACTAAAACATACCAACACTCACAATTAGGCCAAATGTACAGAGCAGGAGAGTGCCAGCAAGGAGGCGGTCCTCTGAGCATGGGCCTTGAGTCGGGGACAGGCAGGCACACATGCAGCCTTGAAGAGTGCGGCAAGGAATCTGGATTTTATTCCAAGTTAACTATAAAATACTAGAGGCTTTTCAGCAGAAGAATTACACGACCTCATGTCTATCTTAGAAAAATAACTTTAATGGTGGCCGGGATTTCGATTGTGGTACTACTGAATGATGTGACACTAATGGCTGGTACTCACTAGGCAGTCACTGCGCGCTGGCCACTGCTCAGAAAGCTGTACCTGTAAGGCCTGCGATAGGCAGACAGTGCAGGGCTCTACTATTTTCCCACATTTTGATGGAAAATGGAGGCAGAAACTAACCTGCCCAAAGGCTCACCACTAGCAAGTCACAGGTCCAGAATTCAAACCCTAAGCTGATTCCAGAGCCTTTGATCCTCCTCCTCCACTATACCACCGTGGAGGCAGTGAGAAGAAGTTGCTTCCTGGGTAATTGTTAAGGCAGTATCTGCACACCTGCTCAATGTGTTAGATGTGAACTGTGAAAGAGCAAGCAGCGCATAGCATAACTCCTGGCCTGAGACAGCCACAGGCAAATCCTATTCTGGAACAGCTGGCAGAACCCACGTTGTTCTTATACCTTTTGGTAAGAAATATATTTTATAATATGTGGACCAATTATTTCAATTGGCAACCCAAACTTTAAAATGCTTGTAATTCAGAAAAGTTTTCTTTGTTTTATGAATGTGTATGTGAAATAACCTTGAAATGCCAGGAATGGAGAAAGTAGACTTTAAATACTAGCAAGTCAAGAATACTTCAAGTAGTTATTCAGCACATCAGGTTAAAAAGTAGCAATAAAAATAAAATTAAAACCTATCCAGATTCCTCCAAAAGTTTTTTTCTATCAGCTCTACAAATAGGTAGTCATCCATTTAGTCCCAGATAAATATATGAATGCCTTCTTCCCTGTAGGCAAATAATCCCAACAAACACAATTTATCAAGAAGATATAAAGACATGAATAATAGAAAGACTGAATTTATAAACTTTCCTTTAGTCCTCACTGTCTGACAGTTTTCTAAGGGCAGAACCCAGTAATCTGATTGGCTAATTCAGTGGCTGGCTGATATTCCATCAGACAGCAATATCAGCCAATCATCAAAACATCCTTTTCAGGTTAGCAAGAAGAAACCTGATGAAAAACATAACCATTAAAGAAAAGGAAAACTGTGACGCCCAGAGTGGTGAATGCATGCCTGAAGATGCACTGTCACAGGGGCAAAACTGGATTCGCTGCAGAGACTGTCACACTGAGCCCTGGAAGCTGCCTCACTTCTCCACCACTCACTGGCCTGCAGAGAGCCACCAACTTTTTAGCTCACATGAAATAATTTAAAATGTCTTTTAAGATTCTCCATAGCAGTATTTAAAAAACAAACAAAACCAAAAAAGGAATAGATTTCCAGCTGGTCTGCTGCTGCTGCTGCTGCTACTGCTGCTGTGCCTGTACGTGCTCTCCCCACACCGTGCTGGCAGCGGAAGCACCCAAGCTGCTCTCAGTGCTGCCTGGAGGTGCCCAGATTCTGAGTTCCATGTTTCAGTCTGCATCAATTCTCAATTCTCAATTAATGAAAACTCAATTCACCTGACATGAGGCGTTTCTAAGGGCAGCTACCCTTAGCTCTATATCCCCAATCTCAAAACTGGATTGTTTTAAATAAATTTTAGGGACTGCCTTTTTCTGTTAGCAAAAAGTCACCTACTTCATTATTTGTGATAATTTGCTTGTATGGTCCTAGCACATTTTCAGTGTCAACAATGTAATGAAACAAACTACAGTGATTATAATAAAATGTATTTTATACAACCCCATCAAAAAAACAACTGGGCAAAGCAAATGTGGAAGGTAGACACAGGCAGTAACAACCCTATAGGGGCATTTAGAGTTCCAATACTTTGCAGATTTCTGTATGCAATTTTCTATGTCTTGTGGTCACCAATTTATTCCTGAGAATGGTTAACATGGGTTCGGCTTCCAAAGTGTTTTCCCTAGACACTCAGCTATCACTATTTATTGATGATAATCAAGTAAAATCATACCCCTTTTAAGTGTGGTAACCCAGAATTTAAGCAATATTCTAGGTTTGAACTAAGATGGGCGATTACTTCCCTCATCCTGAACACTGTAGTGGAGAGTGTATCAGCTATCTGGCGGTCACACTGTACTGCCCTCCCTTTAGAGACAATGTTTCCCAAATGTTGTTAAGCTGTGTGTCTCCAAGGCACAGTGGGAACAGCAGGGTCAACAGGAACAAGTGACCTGAATTTGAATCTGCCACAATAAGCTGTGTGAACTTGGGAGTCTCAGAATTCTCATCCATAAATGAAAACGGCAATATCTATTTTATAGATCCGCTATGAGGATAAGAGTTAATATATAAAGAAAAACCTAGCATATTTCCCGACATATAGAAGATGCTTAGGAACTGGTAGTTGCTATTACTCTATACAGTCATGCATCACTTAATGACAGGCATATGTTCTGAGAAATAAGTTGTCAGGCAATTTCATCACCGTGTGAACATCAGAGTGCACTAATACAAACCTAGATGGCACAGCCTACTGCACACCGAGGCTCTATGATACAGCCTACTACTCCTCAGCTACAAACACATACAGCATGTTACTGTACTCAATACTGCAGGGTCACTGGAACACAGTGGTAGGTATTTGTGAATCTAAAGATAGAAATGGGACAGTGAAAATACGCTATTTTCGGCTCACAGGGCCAGCATTCTATATGCAGTCCACTGTTGACCGAAAGTTCATTAAGGAGCTCATGAGGGTAGCTGTTTTTAGACAGGTTCAAAGTGCTTTACATTGATTCCTATCTCAATTTATCTTACTTAGACTCATCATTTCAATCTGGGATCTCCCTGGAATTTTACATTAATTATACCTCCCCATGTGACGCCATCCACAAATCTGAACACCACGCTACCAATGCTTTCATCCAAGTGACTGGTAACAAGTACTGAACTGAGTAAGAACAAAAATGGAGCACCCTAACTTCTCTAAAAGGTAAAGAACTCTCAAAGGAAATGGAGGATGCCCTATATAGAAAAATTAAATAAAGAATATGAACAGGAAACTCAAAGAAGAAAAGAGCAGGTAAATATATCACAAGTTATCAGAAAAATGCAAATTAAAATACTTCTAAATTGGTATATCTCACTACTGTGGGCTTGGAGAAACAAATTCTCCAATTTGACAATGCATATTGAAATGTTTGATCTAGGAATTCCACCTCTGAGAATTTATCCTAAGACAATTAAGGGATATGCAAAATATTTGCTATAAGGATGTTCAAAACTGCATTCTTTTAGAAAACTTATATCCTCAGCATAGAGGATTTGTGAAATTCAGTAACAATTATGAAACAAAAATATGGTGAAATAAGGTATAGAAACTTGTAGCAGCCTACTGCCATATTAATGTATTTTTAACACTAACTAGTTAAAAAGAAAGTTATAGACAATATGTGTAGTATAATCTCATTTACTATGAATGACATACAGGCATAAATCAATACATATGTCTACAAAAATGACTGAAAGAAATAAACGCTAGTAGTCATTAATATAGTTTTTAAATGCTCTTAGATTGAATGATTATTTTTCCTTAAGTACTACATATTTTTTCTGCTGTAAACATGTATTAATCTGAGTAACAGAGAAGTATGAAGTTTAAAAGCACAGAATACTGTTCTACAGGTAGGATGACATAAATCTGCAGTTTTGGTGTATGACTTGTAAAAAATATTTTTAGCTTATCCAAAAAAGTATTTTAAGACTTTGCCAGACACTTTACTTTTGTTGATGGCATTCTTCCAATTCATTAAATGAGCAATCTTACCAAAAAACAAAGTCAGATTAATCAAGTATGGCATCGCTTGATGGAGTCATGATGAGTGATCACCTTCTTTGCTTTCTGAGTGATCAAAAATCCATTTTTAATTAATCCATTTATTGATTCTTGCCTCAGACAGGCATCATGTTTACTTGTCTGTGATTTACATTATTCAACTTTAATCCTCTGTAAAAAGTGGAACTACATTTTTCTTATCGCTGCCCTTCAAACACCTGCTTGGCTCCACATCCTTTCCCAGATGACTGTCAATCACAGTTCACTCAGTCGAATGGTATGTTCCAGGGTCTCTTAGTCACAGCTTGGCCGCACTTGGCTTCAAGTTCCTCCTATCAATATTTATTCAAATGTTCTCATTCTAAAACCTCTTTTTCACTGAAAACATGGAAGCGAAACACTACTGGACTACTGCCTACACCCCTCACTCAGAGGAGTGGTCCTGTCCTTCCCCTAGTTCTCATTCAAATACACAGAGGCCCTTGGCTGGCGTTAGTTACAAGGACAGGGTAGGGAAGAGAGGTCAAGGACAGCAGCAAGATGGTTTCATAAAACACCAGTGTGGTGCAGGAAACAATAAACTGTAGCGTGGGAGTGGAGGGGAGGAGGTGTGGGAAAAATGCGGAACACCTTTGAGGAAAATGTTGCCATGGCATGGTCTATTCCTATGTTGTGATATTCACAGATTTTCATTCTGGAATCCTTTAGCCACAGAGGAGGCACATATCAGTAAAGACTGAGCTGGACACATAGTAAAATGTAGAATTACCAATATAAGGCATGTGTTTCTTAGGAGAAAGAAAAAACCAATTGAGAAGTAATGGAAGGACTGAGGTGGTAATTTCAGGCACAAAACAAAATGCAAAGGTATGTGTCATACATACGTAGGAGATTTAATTTTTTAATATAAGGAGTAAGAAAAATATTTACCTTATAATTAATTCTACTTTATATTCCAGTAAACACAGAAATGTCTCTCTCTAAGGAAGAGGGCCTAATAGTCTACACATCACACATCTATGCATCATATTAGAATTAAAGGAAAAGTTTAACACGTTCCATTTATTGAATGGACAAGAGGCCAAAATGCACACTGGGGAAAAACAATCTGTGGCTGTTCTGCAATGTCCAAAAAGCAGCATCTTAAAGTTCTTTCATGGCAGCCCCTAATATCTTTTCCCTCCCCCTAGTAGGCTATAACCTACTTACTTCTTTTGTATTCCTTCCCATAGTATCTAAAAGCATAATACAATCACAAGGAAGGTGTTGACAATGTTCGTTCACTCAACTATTCATATGAGTTAGAGTAATGACACACTGTCCATATACACAGGCAGAAACCTGAGGGTTATAAATATCCAAGATCCATATTGCTAAGAAATTAGATGTAGCAGGGTTCGGGGGGGAAGAAATCCAGTACAGACAAAATGACGCTGCCTCTAATCCATTCCTAAATGATAACCTCTCTTTAGGAACTACTGTTTAAGAGGAATATGGCAAATACCTCAACTGTAGAAAAACATTTAGAGGTTATGGCCTCTTTGCTCTGCAGAGATTTTCAATAAGGATGCAAAAGGCAGGAGACAGGGATATAAGAAAGCCTTTCAAATACAGGTGCTGAAAAACCCATTCCTCCACATTTTAAAGACAATAAACCAAGTGAGGCTGGAGGCCCCGCACAGTGGGGGATGGGCATTCCCAAGTGCCCAGATCAGACTACAGGGCTGGGGTTTGCTTCACTTTAAACAGTGCCAGCTCACTCCTGCTTTCTAGAGTGATCCATGGCCAGGGAGCAGGCTAAATACTAACAAGTATAGCCCGTGCACGCTCATGATACCTGCACCAACGTCCATCTCCCATGAACATTTGCTGATGCTAACGCTGCGATTATGCCATCTACACATTTCTCCCACAGCTGCCTAACACCTCTGAATAGTGTAATATTCTCAGAAATTCCACAATGAGCAGTGTATATACAGCTTACGTTTCCAGGGAGGCCCTCAGGCCCCCGGGGCAGCGCTGTGGAGGTAGTAACGCTGTGCCTCTCATGAGGAGGAGAAGCAAGAAGGGGCGGAGACAGTGAAGGAGAGGTGAGGAAGAAGGAAGACGTGGCGGGGAGGTCACGGAAGGCAAGTAATGGAGAGGACCAGAGAAGCAGCCAGCAGCGCAGAGGGCATGAGGATGGAGAAGGTGGAGGATGGAGGCAGCCGCAGGGAACCTCATGGAGGGCCCGCGGGGACTCGCTGGCTTTTCACAGCCTCTGTAGGGACAGAGGCCTCGGCTCCACCAGCAATACGGAACCCAAGGACGCCATGCCAGGATCTGGCCTCTACTATGATGAAGAGGAAAATCTCCTTGACTTCATTACAGAGGCGGTTCCTTTCTAGAGATTAATTATTCAACCTCCACTGAACTGAAAACACATCATGCAGACCCTGTAAGAAGGACGAATGCCATCACCAGTAACATTTTTATATGCCAATTAGTATTCTCTACCCTTCTTCACAGAAGTAGGTCCAAATAAAGCATTCAACATTTTGGTGTGATCTATTTTCAGAGCTATCTCAGCCTGCTTGAACTACCACCCCTAACCCCACCACACAAACACTGCTCTACTTGTCTTTGGTTTAAATATCTCCTTTCACCCCTAAGCAACTAACTGTAACTAAAACATTCACACATAATTGATGTCAAAACAGAAAACTATATATAGGCAATAAGCATTCCTATTTATTATCCACGCTTGCATTCTGGGCTTCTTTTCAATAGACAGAATCATGTTTTTGCTCACTCCACTACAGTCTCATGCCTAAAATTTTATTTTCCCTTTCCTCTCCCTAAAAACACAGGAATTGGAGGCCTGGCGTGGTGGCTCACGCCTGTAATCCCAGCACTTTGGGAGGCCGAGGTGGGCGGATCACGAGGTCAGGAGATGGAGACCATCCCGGCCAACATGGTGAAACCCAGTCTCTACTAAAAACACAAAAAATTAGCTGGGCGTGGTGGCAGGCACCTGTAGTCCCAGCTACTTGAGAGGCTGAGGCAGAAGAATGGCGTGAACCCAGGAGGCGGAGCTTGCAGTGAGCCGAGAACGCCACTGCACTCCAGCCTGGGCGACAGAGTGAGACTCTTGTCTCAAAAACAAACAAACAAACAAAAAAAACACCACCAACAACAAAAAACACCCACATAGGAATTGGAATAAAGACTTACTGCCAACCACTATGAGATACCATCTCACACCAGTTAGAATGGCAATCATTCAAAAGTCAGGAAACAACAGGTGCTGGAGAGGATGTGGAGAAATAGGAACACTTTTACACTGTTGGTGGGGCTGTAAACTAGTTCAACCATTGTGGAAGTCAGTGTGGCGATTCCTCAAGGATCTAGAATTAGAAATACCATTTGACCCAGCCATCCCATTACTGGATATATACCCAAAGGATTATAAATCATGCTGCTATAAAGACACATGCACACGTATGTTTACTGTGGCACTATTCACAATAGCAAAGACTTGGAACTAACCCAAATGTCCAACAATGATAGACTGGATTAAGAAAATGTGGCACATATACACCACGGAATACTATGCAGCCATAAAAAATAATGAGTTCATGTCCTTTGTAGGGACATGGATGAAGCTGGAAACCATCATTCTCAGCAAACTATTGCAAGGACAAAATACCAAATACTGCATGTTCTCACTCACAGGTGGGAACTGAACAATGAAAACACTTGGACACAGGGAGGGGAACATCACACACCGAGGCCTGTTGTGGGGTGGGGGGAGGGGGGGACAGCATTATTAGGAGATATACCTAATGTAAATGACGAGTTAATGGGTGCAGCACACCAACATGGCACATGTATACATATGTAACAAACCTGCACATTGTGCACATGTACCCTAAAACTTAAAAAAAAAAAAAAAGACTTACTGCCCTACTCCTTAAAGGGTAAGGAGGCACCACAACTCCTCACAGATACAGTAGGGGATGCTTTTGTGAAAATACCACATTTTTTATATTTCTCATTGGTGTTTGCCTAAGTGGTATTTTTACGGCAGTGCTAACAATTAGAATAATCGCTTCAACAAAAAGGAATGTAACTTGATACATTTTAGAAAAAAGCAAAAATGTTTATTATTTTCTTCTTAAGTAACTTTTTTTCTTAAAAAAGAAGCCAACAAAATAATATTCTAACAGTCCCTAAAAAGCAAGGAAGAGTCCCTCTCAGGCCCTTCAGGCTTGTCCCTGCTTGATCTTACTCTGGTCTCTGTCACCCCCCAGTGGACGCCACACTCAACTACAAGCCTCGCCCATCAACGGCCTCTGAGGCCTTAGCAGGTTTTTGCACCTGACAAGAGGCGCATCATTGCAGCAAAGCGCTCTAAGTGCTCGCTCTGTGAGCAGCATTCTACCTTTACACTTTCAATAGAAGAATACACACACTCTGACTGTTCTAACAGTTTTCGGGAAGAATCGGTGGGGGGCCACTATCAGGAAAATAATTCTACTATTCTAGGAAAGAGTTATCCCCTTCCAGATCAAACAGTAAGTCCAATTGTATTTTTAAATATTGCTGACTTCAAATATACTATCTGAAAAATCAAATGACTTTATATTTAATGTAATATTAGCCAAAATATACAATTCAAACACTTGTAGCTTTCAATAACATGATGAAAAGAAATAGAATTTGCTTTCTAAAGTATGGCTATAATTTTTTTAAAGTTCAAAAAATTTTTATAGTTGGGTTCATAGGCTTGACTTTTTTTCCCAGCAGATTAAACTTGAAAGTTAAAGGAAAAAGAGACTATTATGTAAACACATCTCTCACTATAAACCTATTTAATGCCACATAAATTCAAGAGGTCTTTGTTAAGTAACTTTAAAAACCTACACTTTGTCTCCTAGAGTTTCAATTTTTATACACATGTAAAAATGGTTAAATGTAACATCATTTTACATTATATGAATAAATAAAAGTGAAAACCCACTCCAATCCTCAAAAAGTGGGGCAATTTCTAAACTGACATACAATAAAATGGCTTCGTTTCTATGTATGTGCAGTCAAGCTAGAGAATGGTTTCACTACCCCCAAAAACTGCCTCAGGCTAACCTTTTATAAACAGTAGTTTTTTTATTATCTAAAAAATACATTAGGATTTCATTTATTCAATAAAAGTAACAAATACAGCCACAGCCACAGCCCCGCAGTGTATTAGGTGCTGGTGAGGCAGGAGCCGGTTACTGTCCCAGGGAACTTTCTGTCTAATAGAGACATGACTGACAGAGGCACTGGAAGTGTGAGGACAAAAGCATGTGTAGTGGACGGGTCAGGCACAAAACACAGGTGCAGGTGATCAAGTTCTGTGGGTTTGGGGAGGCCAGGCACCGGCTGAGAAGGCTTCAGGCGATGCTTAAACCAAGTCGTGAAACTTGGCAGAAAGGATGAGGACAGAGGCATCTGGGGAATGGTCGGGAGCATTCTTGGAGGAGGAGCGTATTCCAAGGCAAAGTGCCTTGAAAGAGCAGGCCGATTAGAGCTGTGAGCTGCAAGGCGCAGGGCCAGGTGGGTGTAATGCACAGCTCTGGAGTCAACTGACAGAACTCTCATTACCAACTGTCTGACCTCGGGCAGGTACTTAACCTTGAAGCCCAAGTTTCCTCCTTGGTAAGCTACTAATAATAATACTGATCGCAAACTCCCCATGAAAACTATTCAAAATTAAAATAAATGTCAGTTAATTACAAATTATTGCCCTACCAAATTAGGAACAAATGAAAAGAACAGAGGATTCCATCAGGTTCAAAGATTTCTAAAGGTAAAAAGTCAAGATCTTCTGGGTGGAAAGGGGCAGACCCTGAGGAGAAGGAAGAATGAGGTGGTGGGCGACGAGGGTCTAAGGAATCCAGACTATGTGACAAAGCCATCTCGCAGGCACCACCTTCGAGATAATAAAGGCGGTGCCACCCGATGGAACTCACCTGGAGTTCCAGCTCATGCTTCAGCTGACTGAGAAAGTACACCCCAAGTTTACCTGGGAAAAAAGTCTTAATTCCTGAAGATCCAGAACTAAATGGCAAAGTTTAAGAGAATCAAAGGTGATTAATTCTGTAGTTTTTTGCATTAAGGAATCTGTTTGTATTTAGAATTTTCTGTGTTTTATATATTTATATTTCAGAGAATTTGGCCAAGTTGGCCTTCTTATGCCAATTTAAAAATATGCAAATGAGTCACTGATTTGAACTTTAGATTTTAAACTTATAAAGAGTATACTGAAACAAAAGACTTAAGGTTCAGGATATTCTTAAGGTTGAATTAATTAGATTTGTAAGTTTTTTAGAACTAGGACACATTTTATTTAAATTGAAATTTGATACATTGAAAGGAAACTGGATATATTACATTTATAAAGGCAATTAAAAACGTTTGTAGGAATTTATGTTTATAAGTGGAACCAAACATTAAAGTTCCATTAGACGAGAATGTTAAAATTTGCCAGATTTTAAAATACTATACTAACTTTTGTAAACTGAATTAAATGTAAGGAAGAAATACGTTTCTAAATTTGTGAGTTTAATAAATACTAATTTTTAAAATCTAAATAATCCTGTGCATAGAAAATTTGTCCTTGAATTAATGATTTTTTTTAAAAAAAACTTGCATCAACAAATGACTACTGCAAAGGGCTGCTGGAAAAAATTAAGTTAATATGTGAATTCAAAGCATTTAGCAAAAAATCTATCATAGAAGACTCAGTTTGCTGTTATCATTACTACTATGTGACTCAAAAGCGGCCGGGGAGGTGGGATGTGAAGTGTGGAAGCTGCGGACAGAAAAGTGCTATACCTTACACTAAGGAGTGTGGATGTTCTCCCGTAAGCACTGAAGTACCCCGAAGGCTATGGCCATTTACCAAGACTAAAATGGCTCTGTCAACTATTCTGAGAAAAATCTTTGATTCTTCTATCTAGGTCATAAACTATAAATCTGGCTAAATTGGCAGTCATAGTGGATTAACATAGGCTTTCTAACCAGAATGACTTCCGTTAATTGACAAAAGTGCTGCCAAATGGCTTCATCTGAATAGAAGACAGCATGGGGGAAAACCAGTAAACAGAAAACTAGGAAGCATTTACTCTGCCTTTTCAGTACTAACTACATTTTAAGGTAACCAAAGAGTTACATTTAAGGTAACTCTCTTGATAAGGGAGGAAAAACTCTTTGCTACAGAAGAAAGTTTGCCAAAAAAAAAAAAAAATGTAAAAGAGGCTGGGTGCGGTGGCTCACGCCTGTAATCCCAGCACTTAGGGATCACCTGAGGGTCAGGAGTTCGAGACCAGTCTGACCAACATGGAGAAACCCCATCTCTACTAAAAAAAATTACAAAATTAGCCGGGCGTGGTGGCATATGCCTATAATCCCAGCTATTTGGGAGGCTGAGGCAGGAGAATCACTTGAACCTGGGAGGCAAAGGTTGCAGTGAGCCGAGATCGTGCCATTGCACTCCAGCCTGGGAAACAAGAGCAAAACTCTGTCGCAAAAAAAAAAAAAAAAAAAAAAAAGTAAAAGAAATCACTGAATTTGAAAATCACTATTTTGCAACCTCTGAAGAAATTTGATATAGGCAAGGATTATCAATGGAAGCCAAAAGCATGAGGGAGAGCGTTAAAGGGAAACTGGACATCTCCATACAGTGTCAAGACATCATCCACAGATTATCTGCTAACTGAAAAGATTTTTTTTTAATTAAAAAAACTTTTATTTTAAAACAAAAAGATATGATTATCGTCAGCAAACTCAGCATCTCCAGTATTAAGAAAACAGTAGTCACTGTGGGACTCCTGTCTAATCTAAATCTTATTAAACTGCTACATCTAGCTTCTAGTTTGCTGAAACTACACAGAACACCAGGAAAGAAAAACCAGACAACTCCTGAGTGTGCGACATTCCACAGAATAGTGGGACTGTGCTCTTCAGCAGCTCAGTGTCATTCAGAGGAAAACAAAAGGTGGGGTGAAGAGGGGGGAAGAGGAAAGGTGTACTGCTCCCTGTCAAGCGACTTAAGCCCATAACAAATACAAAATGTAGCCCTGACTAAGTGCTGGTGAGAAAAACAGCTTAACAGGCAGCCTAAGGGACAACTGGAAATCTTCCCACATGGAGCTGGCCTGAGATGATGCTGAGGAGTCACACTGTAGTCACACTGTTACACTTGTTAGTGTAGCAATGGCATTGTGGTTGGCTGGGGGAAGGTCCTTGTTTCTTGGCTACAGAGACAAGTATTTGAGGTGAAGTATCCTGATGTCCTTATTTTCACTTTAAAATTGTTCAAATAAGCTGGGCAATGGGTACCTGGGAGGAAGTCATTATACATTTCCTTACTTCTGAATATGTTTGAAAAGTTTCACAATAAAAAAGTTTCAAAAAATGTTTCAACAGCAACTACAAAACATACAGAAATAAAATAAAGGTACAAAAATGCTAACAATAGTTAAATCTATGAGGTGGGCATATGGGTGATCATTTTTAATTTTTACATCATATTTCTCTGTATTTTTGATAGTTTTCATAAGTAAAATAAAAGATGCCAAACCCACACACAAAAACCCCCACAAAACTCCTCTTCACACAAATCTAGTCAATGAAAACCAAAAATTTAAATGGTAGACAGTGTATGTAGATTATAACAATGATAAAAAACTACATGTCAAAAAAACATAGACATGAATACAGCAAAAGAAGACATGCCTTTCAACACTTTTACAAACCACCCCCATACTATGAAATAAATAAATCAAGCATTTGACTTTTTTTATTATTATTATTTTTTCAAGACGGAGTCTTGCTCTGTCACCCAGGCTGAAGTGCAGTGGTGCGATCTTGACTCACTGCAACCTCCGCCTCCCAGGTTCAAGCAATCCTCCTGCCTCAGCCTCCCGAGTAGTTGGGATTACAGGCACCTGCCACCACGCCCCGCTGATTTTTTTATTTTTAGTAGAGACAGGGTTTCATCACGTTGGCCAGCCTGGTCTTGAGCTCCTAACCTCAAGTGATCTGCCCGCCTTGGCCTTCCAAAGTGTTGGGATTACAGGCGTGAGCCACTGTACCCAGCCAAGAATTCGACTTTATGGAAAAAAGAAGAAATAAACTAAGAAAATCAGAATTAACTAATTCAAGAGCTGATTCTTGATACAAGCCAATTAATAAAGACTAAATTCTGGATAATTTTATCAAAGAGCAGGAGAAGGTACAAAGAAAGTGAGAAATGAAAATGTAGGATTGTTACAGATATAAAAAGAACCGTAAGAGATTGCTTTGCAAAACCTTACATAAATATATTAAGAAACTAGAAATGAATAGCTTTCTAGGAAAATATAAATGACCAAATGACCCACATTGACCTTAGAAGATAAATCAAAACATTAACCCCCAAAACAATTATATCAGACGGAAACAGTTTCACAAATATATTTTCGAGCTGTTAAGGAATAATTTTAATACTATGTAAAAGTTCCAGAACACAGAGAAAGAAGGAAGGCTTCCAAATTATGAGGACAGTATAACCTGACAACACACAGACGTTTTGGTTAACTGCAATGAAATCTCAGGAATAACCATTCAAAATGTTAAGTAAAATGTTAGACAGTATAAATCAGCAGTACTATAAAGGAATAATTTATAACAACCAAGTAAAGTTTATCCAAGAATTGCAATGAATCATTCACCACTAGGAGGTACATTAACAAAATTATTAATGTGAAAAGGTTTTAAAGGGAAAAAAATGATTATTTGTGTTCAAAAGGCACTCAAAAAAACTGAGCAAGCACTTTGATTTTTCAAGAAAACTTAAAAACAGTAATAGATGAATACTTTCTAGCTATTTTCTAAAAAACAGATAGGATGCATGAATACTGAAAAGGAAGAGGAAGAACTATTATTTGTTGAAGATAAGATTTTGTATCTTAAATCTTAGAAAACCTAAGATAACTGATCAAATATATTGGCTACAAAAATATTATTAAAAGGATACCAAGAGTTTTCCTAACCAGTTAGAAAGAAATGGAAGAAAATCTTCAACTTGCAATAGCAATAAAAGATACAACTATCCCCCATAGGACGTGGCACCCCTGCTTTGACTCTGTTTGGGTCTCCTCTGCAGAGCCCCTGCTTAGGCTCCAACGCCAGTGGCAGCAGCGACGTCCACACACCTGAGGCTGTGGAGAAATGGCAGTTCTGTAGCACACCTGTGGTTGTCCAGTGACCACCTGCTGACAGCCACGTTTCATATGGTACACGAGTGGGGGATGGAATGTGAGACCAGAAATGTCTTCACAGTCACATGAAGAAAACAAACCTCAACGACTGTAAAATAAAAGCTTTTACTTAGAAAAACTCAATTTTTAAAATATCAATTTTCTCTCAAAAATCCTTAATGTCAGTGCAATCTCAATATTAATAAAATACTGTATCTGAATACCACTAAAATACTAGTGGATTCTTTTTTGTAACTTGACAAAATAATATAAAATAATGAGGGGACATTTGCCCTAATAGATATGCAAAGTGTAACTGGAGGCCGGATACTCCTGTTATCCTAGCACTTTGGGAGGCTGAGGTGGGCAGATTGCTTGAGTCCAGGAGTCTGAGACCAGCCTGGGCAACATGGCAGAACCCTGCCTCTACAAAAAATACTAAAATTACCCAGGAGTGGTGGCATGCACCTGTAGTCCCAGCTACCTGGGGAGACTGAGGTGGGAGGATCACTTGAGCCGGGGAGGTCAAGGCTGCACTGAGCCATGATTGAGCCATCACACTCCAGCCTAGGCAACAGAGTGAGACCCTGTCTCATGTTTAAAAAGTGTAACTGGAAAAGCAGAGAGCAATGGAACAGAATAGAGTGCCAAAATGTAATGTAATAAATGCCACTAATCCACATGACTAATGGTTTGGAAAATAAGCAGAGCTGAGTTCTTATTCCATAACAAAAAGTAAATTCTAGATGAGCTGAAGATTTCATCATACTCAATTATATCTCAATGAAGTTGTACCCATAAGCACTGAAAACATATAAATGTTAGAAGAGAAATATGGGTACTTAAGAAAAAACACTTCATCCAGCATGTGGAAAATTCTTTACAAAAAACACAAAAGCAAGAAGCCATAGGGAAAGCTGTATGGAAGGTGTCTGCAACACATAATAAACTGGCTAGCCTCCTTAACAAGAACCTGTATGAACAGACCAATAGAAAAATGGGCAACAGATGAACAGGGAAGTTCACAGAAAAAGAAAGAAGGGTGCCCCAAAGATATCTAAGAAAGATACTCAAAGAACTACCAATCAGAACAACAATGGAAGACTCTATCCAATCAGTAAACATTTTAAAATGTAACAGCACCATGTTTTCATGTGGGCCTAGGAAAACAGGCCTCATTGCACATGACTCGGGGGAGTTCACACTGCCACATTATGTAAGGAGTCAAAAGGAAGTGGCATGTTCATGTAGGTGTTTTTTTTTTTTTTGGTTTTTTTTTTTTGAGTCGGAGTCTCACTTTGTCGCCCAGGTTGGAGCGCAGTGACGCGATCTCAGCTCACTGAAAGCTCCACCTCCCGGGTTCATGCCATTCTCCTGCCTCAACTTCCCGAGTAACTGGGACTACAGGGGCCTGCCACTATGCCCGACTAATTTGTTGTATTTTTAGTAGAAACGGGGTTTCACCGTGTTAGCCAGGATGGTCTCGGTCTCCTGACCTCGTGATCTGCCCTCCTCGGCCTCCTGAAGTGCTGGGATTACAGGGGTGAGCCACTGTGCCCAGCCTCATGGAGGTTTTTAAAAGGACAGATGTGACATGGAATTTTCTTGGTATGAGGTTCATTTAATTATCTTAGTGTTCCATATACAGTTCACAACAATTTAAAAAGAATGACAGGCAGGCGATGAAAGGCAGATGGTCGTGCTAGAAAACGCAGAGATGCCTAATCCATTCTACCTTCACTGCCAGTATGATCAGAGCATGATTCTGCTATCATTTATTCCTCCCCTTTTCTCCCCTGCCCCATTCTCTGTCCCCATTCTATCATTTCCTGGTAAAACGATCTTACAGACTACTGCTACTAGGTTTCCCTATCTGCACAATGTAGATGAGCACTTTTATGAGTTATTTTTAGAGATTAAATGAGACGGCACCTGTGGTACGTGGCACACAGTAAACACCCAATAAATATTAGCTGCTAATTAGATGCTAAGTCACCACCATCGCAATCCATGACACAGGTTTTGAATTATCTCACGTTTAAATAGTTCTATATTTTTTCCTCTATATTTGACTTTTACTAAAATTTGCCTTGACCTCTTTTTATAGAAGGAGGCAAGGTATTTAAAAATAAATGATAGTAGAATAAAATAAATAAAAATAAATGATAGTAGAAAACAGAAGTCATTACACTGAACAGGAGAGGGCTGACCTCACTTAACAAAGGCAACGGCTCCACAAGGCCAAGGCCCACACCCCATTACTGCTGTGAGGGTTGCTTCCTAGGAGCCTGGATGACCTTGAGCAAACCTTGGAGCAGTGCTGATTAGACCCTTCTCAATTAAGTAAATAAAAGCAAACATCTTGGTTTTTACCAAAAGGAAAAATGTATTTTCCATGGAAGTACTGCTTGTCCTTCTGTACAGACACAGCCAACATGACACACTGATGGGGAAACGCCAAATTCACCTCTGCATGAGGGCATACATAACTGACTTTCTTTACTTTTCATCTCTTGCCCATGACCTTCCACTTCCCTAGCCTCTTACTACACCCATCCACTGCAACAAAGGTAAGAAAGAAGAAAAGCGAAAGTAACTTTTTCTCAAGACATACATGGTCAAGTACTATCTGGTAGAAACTTTGAAAGTTATTCCTCCTGTGATCTTTCGACATTTTCATTTTCTTCCCTCCCTTCCTGCACTCCCCTTCTTCTGCTCCTCTCCCATTTACCCTGCGGCTAGCTCTAGTAATGCCCCATTCACCCTCTGTTATCATTCTCGTATATTCTAGCTCTCCAGTGCACACCCTGAGAGCTTCTCATCTTTCTCTTCAGTTCTTAAATCCCCAGCAAAGTAGTACCTAGCAGAAAACCTATTAGTAGGTGCTGAAAAATGTCTTACAATAAGTGAATAAAATATATTATCTATACTGTAGCATACTACAAAGAGCCCTGGGCTAGTAGTCAGAAAAACTGGCCTGCAGTCTCAGTAATGCTATTTGTGGTTCTGTGGCTTCATATTTAAGCCACTTAGGCACTAAAGTATCAATTTCCTCATCTATAAGATGGGGCTTTTACTGTACTTACTATTGCTGTACTTACTATTGTATACGGTTTCACAAAATGAGATGAAGAAAGCAAAAAAAAGCTTATTGTTATGCTCGTTTAAAGCACCATGGCTACTTCTGTTGAACAACAGTATTTGCCAACCAAACTTCTAAATGTAAGCAGGAATAGTACAGTCATCTATTAGGAGAGGCAGATTTAATTAATATGTTTATTTGCCTTTCCCTAAAATAAGGAAAAAGCCAAAGCAGCTGAGCTGGTAAGGCATTCATCCACATTATGTCATCACAAGTATAATGCTTACGCTGTGGGCAAGAAACAGCCCATGTTAATTATGCCATGTCTTCCAATCTTAATTATAACGTAGATATAAAGTATTGGGGTAATTCTTACCAGGTTCTGGAAGGTCTAACTTTGCCCGCTTTAGTTCTGTCATAGAAATCTGAAGTTGCTCTATCACAAAATCATCTTCAAAGAAAAAATCCTTTGCCAGGGTCTCCTGAAAAAATTCTACAAGTTCTTCCATGGACAATTTCATTAGATGTTCTAAGAAAGGATAAGAGAAATGAAAATGCCAAGTCAATAGCTACTTTAGGTAGGAAGATATTCTATTATATTCAGGTGTAGTGTAAAAGGGCATTAAAAAGGGCGCAAGCAGCATACAACTTACATATGGCATTGAGGACATCATTAAAACTCAGTAAGACAAAAATATTGCCTGATATTAAAGCAGCCACAGAGAAAAGCAGGAAAGTTTACTGGGAGAAAGGATGGGAGGAGAATACTGCCTAATACTTCCTCATTGGAATAACCACACCTAGGCATTAGTATTACCCCAGAGCAAGAGCTTCTTAGAGACAGACACAGAAAGACTACCTCAGCCGGCATGAGGCCTTTCTCTTTTATTGATACGGAGCTCCAAGAAGCCCCATTTTAAGTCTGTATTTCTTACTGTTTCAGAATTTCCCAGAACATCTGGATTATTAATTTTGTGAGTTTTATTTCTATTTATGAAATTCATTTTCTTGGAAAAAGACATTCAAATTAAATATGAACACAAAGCAGAAAGTAAAAATCTGCTCATTACATAATACCCTACATAATACACCTCATTACATAACACCCTACAGGTAGATCCAGGTATTTACAAGTGTTTATGTATATCAATTGAAGAATCCAAATTATACTTTTCAAGTTATTCCCCTTTTTGCTTTTTTCCCCATTCACTAATGTATCACTGATATCTCTCATTTCAACAAATATGATGTGTACTATATGTAAGCATTGTAATTTACTTAAACAGTCTTCTATTAATGGTCATTTAGGTGGTTTTTGATTTTTTATTATTTAAAACCACTGTGTGATGAACCTCCAGTAACAACGTATTTTTAAGACAATCAGTAAGAAAAAAAAGAAAAAGGAAAAAATTTCTTATGAGCTTTAGCTAACTATTGGTTAATATGCCCAGAAAGAGTTTTTCTTTTTTTTAATTGGCTAATGACAAATTGTATATATCTGTGGTAGACAATGTTTTGATATATGTATACACTGTGGAATGACTAAGTCAAGCTAATTGACACATCATTACCTCACATACTTATCTGTCCATAGTGAGAACATTTAAGATGTACTCTCAGCAATTTTCAAGTATACTGTACATTATTATAAATTATAGTCACCATGCTGTATGACAGCTCTCCAGAGCTTACTCCTACTGTCTAACTGAAACTTGAACCAGCATCTCCTCCCATCCCGCAGCCACCCTTCCATTTCGGAAGCTTTATATGGTGGAGACGGAACTTCACGTAAGTCTCTAACCAAGAAAAATACACAGCAGCAGATTTGTCCACAGCTCATTTAGTCTAATGATACGGTAGCATGTAAAGCAGTTGCTATGCTTAACATTTATTTACAAGGGTAAAGAAACTTTTTACTTGTCAAAATTAATCAAGGGTCATATAAGTAGAACAATTTAAGAAGCAGATGAGAGCTACAAAGAAGTATGTTTCTACTTCCTCATTCTTGAGGGAACATTAAGCTAATGTCTCTTAATAAAAACTGTACTTCTGTTCTCTATTTTGATCCCTTAACAATCCAGAAAGAAAGTGGGGGGGGAGGGGAGGGAGAGAGGGAGAGAGGGAGAGGAGAAGAGAGAGAGGGAGAGAGAGAGGGAGGGAGGGAGGGAGAGAGGCAGGGAGAGAGGAAGAGAGGGAGAGAGGGGGAGGGGGGAGGGGGAGAGGGGGGGAGAAGGGGAGGGAGAGGGGGAGGGGGAGAGGGGGGAGAGGGGTAGGGAGGGAGGGAGAGAGGTGGGGGGTGGGGAGGCAAAAGGCAGTGTTGGGGGGCCGGTGCGGGGAGGAAGGAAAAGAGATTTCACGAGATCAGATGACAGACTTGAATCCTGGAAGACACATAGTCAATTGTTTTGTTCTGGTGCATTAGTTGGGGAAAGAAGAACTGAGTATAAGGGAAGTGAACCACAACAATTCTGAGTCCTTTTCTTGAAAAAACTAAACATAACAAAAGTGCTTTTAAAGGGCATTTTCATTCCTATCTAAAGTATGGATAATCTGGCACTCCTGCAGTCCATGCTTTTCAAGTAAGCAACCAACCAATCTTATAGTAAAGTCCGTAACATGTACTTAGAACAATGCCAAGCACAGCAGAGAGAAAAACTATAAACAAGACCCTGTGCACTCAATTAGTTTATAATTTAGTTGGGAAGCGCAACAGATCATTCAAGAATAACCTAAGAGAGTTGAGTGCACAATGAACATGAAACTATGTGGTATGACCTGGATTAGAAGTACGTGTACGTATGAAGCTCTAGAGCTTTCAATGATTTTCTTTTCTGCATAGCTACAAGAGAAGTCACAGAATTTTTAAGGCTGAATTGAAACTTTAAAGATGAACAAGGTTCTTCATGAAAAAAAATCTCATTTCTTTATTTTAAAGTAAGGCATAACATATCAAATTTATAGAGCCCTTAAATATATTGCAACTGAAGACTAAAAATTCTCCAGTTTTTTTTTTTTTTTAATCTTGCTCCATTTATCTGCCTATAGACACTGGCTGAACTTGCCCCAGAGGCCATAATGCACTGAGGTAGAGAAGTGGGTCTGTGTGCTCCCAACCACAGTTCAGCTGGGTGCTATTCTCCCTGGATGAAGGAAACAGTAATAGAAAACGTTCTCTCCAGCCTTTTGAACTAAGGGGCCTGGTTTCTTTGGTCTTCCTTCTCTTACTGCAAACTTGAGATTCAGACTGATGAAAAGGACAAGGGATCCCAGTGGAAACAAATACTTAACGAAAAATATTACTAGTGAAACCAACTAACTGCATTCTATAAAAGTGTGAAAATGACACTAATATAAACAGAAAAGAACCAAAGACCTTTGCAGTGAAGTAAGCTTCTAGTCATGAGAAAGAACTTACAAAAGTACATTACCAATTGATGATAATTTCTCCACTGATTTTCAAAAAAAATTTAAACCACTATTAAAAGACAATGAAGTTGAAGTGGGTGGGGAATGAGAAATCAAGGTTAAATAAGCCTCAATTTTTAATGAAATTTTAAGAGTTTAAGCATTTTCTTACTTTTGTGTAATTTTAAGATGGTGTAAGACATAGCAGTAAGAACTCGTTCTCCTTCAAAGATGTAGATATCCCATATTCTGAGGTTTAGTGTAAAGGGAGTCTACAATTAAAAGCAAAACAAAACAAAAATAGGGTTAACAGCTTCCCCTCACCTTGTATTTATAATTTTATGACTGAGTTTTGTAAATAAATACTTACACGATCAAGGAAACACTGAAAAAACCATTTCATTGTGTAAAAACTTGTGTAGATTTCTTGAGAATCCTGAAAAAACAAAGAGCTCACAATTTATGGATTGTAGCAAACTAAATTTAACAAAATAATACTAAGTTAGGAAGGCTGTTGGATGCAGCTATCAAAGCTAAACACATTTACTTCTCAAAATCACTCCAAGAATAAATTCCTCTTAGGACTGTAATACAACAATTAGATTCTCTTTAATATATTTTACAGTGAGCTTTCTTTGTTTTACTAAACTACTGTGTTTTATAGTAAGGCATATATATAGTTCACTAACAACGAGTTTCTGTGACCCTGAAAAAATATTTTTTGTACAATGAAAAAACCTCCAAAACAACTGGGAGATCCCATATCTTTAAATTATCACATTGTTTGTATCATTAGCTTCAAAGAAGTTCAAATCCCTCAGTAAGAACTGTGATAGCCTGTCAATATTAAATTTTACAAATCTAATGGTTTGTAAACAACTGGGAATTATAACTGCATAGTAAATGAAATGGATGACACTATAAATTAATAAGGTAATTGGACCAAAGACAATTTAATTATCCCAGCTTTTTTTGGGGGGTGGGTAGGTGGGTGTAAGTCAGTGGCACATCTACCTACCAAGTGTTGCTTAAGCTTGGACAGAAATTTGTTCAGTATTTTTTCATGATGTTCTTGAAACCTCAAGAGTTTAGGAAAACCTTGGACAAAAAAGCCTAGAATACAAACATAAAAACAACATTTCATAAACAATACCAACAAAACCCTCCAATCTTAAAACACAACATATTTCATTTGTAACTGTCAAAAATAAAAAGAAACATTCAGTAGTTACCAAAATATTTTTTCTCCCCACCTAGGAAAAAACTGTATATAAGCTTTGGGTAATGAAACTTTTAGCCTAGGATTTGTTTGCTAAAGATCTTCTATAACTTTGTATTTTTGAATTTAAAGGGAAACCTTAAAAAAAAAAAAAAAAGGACACTGAAGACATTTATCAAGATTATCTGTTCTTTTAAGATATTGGGCCATATCTTAAATGCATATATTTGTAATATATTATTCCAACCCTGACTAGTCATTTTGTTTTACTCTTAATATGTTAAATAACAATTTATTACTTTTTTCAGGCTTACTCTAAGAATTTCATTAGTATAAAGTTCCCAAAGTTTTAAATCGCTTTTTAATCCTTTCCTAAAAAGCTGTATTTAACATCTGCTAAAAATACAGGCACTAGATGATCAATGTTATATCCAAAATGGTATTTTATCCCAAGTGACTATACAATATAATCTATATCTAAGAAGTAACAAATTACAAATGGTTAGCATTAATTTTGTGTATTTAACTCATTGAACTTTACATCTATTTTTCTTCATGATATTCTATACAATCCATTAAAAAGAAAGTCCACTCAACAGACTTGATGATTCTTCTACATTAGGATCCAACCTGGGTTCCATGCAACTCTGAAAGATGTTAACAGACGTTCTATGCTTTTGAAAAAGAAACCAGAGGACACATTTACATCCTTCTTAGATATTCATGAGGCATTTTAGCTTATTAATGTTCTTGCCTTTTAGACTTAATGAAACTTGTTTTTCTTTCACTCAGTCTCCCACACTTATGTGATCTTGGAGTCCATTTTCCCCCCAGAAAGTCTGCTGCCCCAAAATGAAACTCTATTCCACCAAAAACCTGAGGCACATGCTATTGGGCAATGGTGCTTTACAATCTACTGGGCAGAATTATTTCTTAACTAGTTCTCAGTTTTCTAGGGTGTGTGTAAAAATTTCCAGAGACAGAAATTCTATTTCTCCTTTAGTAATATTTTTCAGTGAAATTGTTTCATTAAAAAAAAAAAATCCGTATCTATCAGTGCCACTTTCATAGTCAATTTGATAGGAATGGAAGTTGAAAAATTTTCAAGAAAAGTCTAATTTTCGAAAAGTCAATACAGTTCAGTAATAACTAGCTCAAGAATGCTAAGAAGCCTAACAGTTCTTCATTTTCCACTGATGTTCCAGATCTCATATTTTATATTTTCATCCTTAGCTTCAATTCCACACATTTATAAGTGAAACCACCTTCACACTAGAAAGTAACCTTTAGTTATAAAATTTCATAGGCAGACATAGAAACAAACATCTCTAAGTATAAACTGACCCTTAATAATGAGCCAAACTACATTCTAAGTAGTTAGGATAGTAGAATTAATATTGTTTTATAGATTAGTCTAGTGACAATAATTGCTGAAGGTAAGCTATCAAATAGGTTTAAAAGAAATGACCACTTCCTAAAATTGGACAGTCTTGGACACAATTACATACCAGTTAAATTTGCATTCTATTGTACCTCAAGACAGATCAGCAACACAATCCCACGGGAAAGCAAAATAAAGACTGACAGGGAAGAGCGGCTTTCTTCAAGATGCCTTTTGGAATGATACTGCCTACTGGATGGCAACTCAATATAATAACATGTCTTACTTTTAGAGCCTATTTACTAGATGCAAAGCGCCCAGACCCAGTTACCATGCAGATGATATTTGTTAAGTAATTGGCAAGAAACACTAAGGGAGAAAGACAAATGCAAACACATACATACCCCCCTCACTCTTCCACACACACACAATATCCTCACATGGTCAGAGTGTGAGACTTCACAAACAATGGGCTATAGAAAGTCATAATTTTGAAAATATTAAAACAGTACTTTAAATATATAGCAGGTTCCTCACCACACAAAGCTTATTCACAAACTGAACTTGGAAGATCCATTCTTAGAATAACTAGTGTTAAAATTATTTTAAATTTGATATTAACACTTAGAATAACTAGTGTTAAAATCATTTAAATTTGATGGCACTGGGAAAATAATTTTGCATTATATGAACAAATGCCACTTTTATTTCCAAGACAAGTTGTGATCTAAGGGCGGGGGCTGTGGCTCACACCTGTAATCCCAGTATTTTGGGAGGCTGAGGCGGGAGGTTCACTTGAGTCCAGGAGACTGAGACCAGCCTACTCAACATAAGGAGACCTCATCTCTACAAAAAATTTAAAAAATTAGCCAGGCATGGAGGCACATGCCTGTGTGGTTCCGGATACTAGAGAGGCTAATGAGGCGGGAGGATGGCTTGATCCCAGGTCAAGACTGCAATGAGTCACACCACTGCACTCCAGCCTGGGTGACAGAGCAAGACCCTGTCTCAACAGTTGTAATCTAAACTCTCTGAAATAAAGTTTATTGCTTAATTTGGCAAAAACAAGGAAACAGTTATTATAAACAGTGTTAACTTGAAAACCAAAAAATCAGCAGGTTCTGAGATATTAAATAATCGAGTGCCTAGAACACGTTATCAACCTTTTATTTAAAGTGGAACCAATTTTATGTGAAAAAACAAAAACTACACTTGAAATATAAAACTACTTAATTATTACCTTTTCTTTAAAAACCTAAGTGTCATTTCTCAATTACTGTTTTTTTGACAAGTTGTTATATATCACAATATCCAGTCAATGGTAAACATTTCACTAAAATGATAATTTCATGACCATCTAAAAGTTTTGATTAAAAGGCATCTTTTATTTCTCCCAATAATATACCTGTTCTTAAATTCCTCCAAACCTAAATTAGTTTCTTTTGACCAAGGGCAAGTAAGGAAGAATTTTAAAGTGCCAACAATATACCTTGGAGTAAAGACAAAGGAAAATAAATGTAAATGTTTTAGAAAAGTTCAATAATGAAAAATGAAAGAAGAAACTAGTAACAAATACTAATGAACTCAACGAGCCCTGAGACATTAAATTTGCTGTATGTAACTCTTGCAAGCATCTTTGGTTTTGTTTTAATCTACTTTTTTCCCTACCTTGATTGTTTAGATAAAGCACAGGGTTTTCTTACCATGCATGGCATGTTTAGGGCCTGAGAAGAGTTTGACCAGGGCCCAGAAGGCATCTTCCTCGTTCATATACATGAGGAGTAAAGCTGTGATCTGGCTCATCCCCTGACAATACCCGACTTCCTGGGGAGCAAAGGGGAACACAGAAGCTGGGGAGTTCAGTCGAATTACATGCATATGTACAGAGAAAAAGCTACTCTATAAAAACCAGAAAATGCCTACACACATCATTTAATGGTCCATTCTAGAGACAAATACTATACTCTTTACAGTATTATGCCACATAAGAGAATAAAATTGTGCTAAAAAATAAATGCACAGGTACAAAGTCTAAATTGCTACATATTTTTATTGGACTCGGTCTTCAATACTGTCACACTTTCTTTAAAGAGTGATAATATTTATTTCACTTTATGTATGATTCTTAGCTCACTATTCCTCTTCTTTGCTCAGTTGCTGGCAAAGTCTCCCCTTCTACAACACCCAGTATGCTGTCTTGTCTCCTCTAGATTTCTGAACCCTTAAGCAGACACATCTTGGGATGCCCATGCACAGTCTATGCCTCCTCTCTAAGAAATACCCACTCTCCCCATAGTCCCTGCTTATGATGTGGCCTTAAGGATTCATGCTTGTGCCACAGGAACCACAGCTAATGGACCAGAAGAGGACAGCTGACCCCAGGGGAACAGTTATTTGGTTGCACTGACTCATCAGACACTGTCTCTATGAAATGTGAACAAAGCCAGAGACTGTAATCAGATGGGGGTACGTACTGGAACAGAATGCTCACAATGAATCTGTGGGTGCAATCTGAGCCGCAGTATAACTGGCCAGTAGGCAAAGGAAGCAATCTGGAGAGAGAAACAGTGAACTGAACAGTTCACAGAGATCATCTGAGATACTGAGTGGCCCCCAGAATGGGAGAGATGGAAGGTGCAGCTTTCCTTCTCACCAGACGCTTCCCACCTTCCAGCTCCAATTCCGGTGAGGCCCAACTAGTGCTTCCTTCCTATGAGATGTCCCTTTAAAAACCCCTTTTTAACTTTTCCTAGTTTGAGCGAATTTCTGTTCTTATAATTTAAAGGTTTTAACTACAATAGAAATTATACATCCCAAGGTTCAAAGGTCCTCCCTGGGACCTAGTCAACAAGTATTCATTTAACACCCACATTAAGTCCAACACAAATTAATCTATCCCAGATTATCTTCTCCCCCAACAATGCTGAATGCCTTAAGAAGAGCATGTCTATTACCGAAGAGTTTAGCCTCCTCCTGGGGATAGCCAGTAAGGGCATAGTTATCTTGTTTGGACCTCACCTAATAGATAAATGTGATTGTGAAAAGTAACCTCCCAAGAGCAAAGAGAGTTATAAAAAGTCAAGCAAAAATTAACCAAGCCACCCACTTCCTGTCCTTCTACCCTGTATATCTGCTTAAAAATAAAAACAAAACAACACAAAACATTACAAAGCAAAACAATATGGAGGGAGAGAGAAAAGGTGAGACTCACTGGCATACTGTGGTCATATTTAGGTTCTTCCACTTCAGAATCAGCTCTGTTCTAAGGCCCTAGGGTTATCACAGGGTTTCAGCTTAAAAAGATCCACAGAGCTAAAGAGACCATGGAGACCACCTAGCTCTGAGATGCAGAAATGTGCCCACAGGGCCCTGCTAAGTAGGGAGTACCTCAGAATACAACTCAAAGACCTTGGGCAGGCAGGCCCCAACTTACCGTGTTATAAATAGAATAGGCAGCAAGCACATGGAATAAGGATTGTTGCCTAGAGAAAAAAATTTACATTAAATACAATTTAGTAATTTCACATATTTTAAAAATTACAAACTTAAAAAAATAAACCAAAGACTGACTGAAAACAGATAATCCAGATAAAATTACTAATGTAATAAATTATCCCAAGTTCAAATTCAAACAACACTCTAAAAAGTCTAAATTCAAGACTAGATAATATTCATTCTGAAAGGATTTATACCAAGAAAACACAAAACACTTCAAAATTCCTAAAATTTGTTGCCTTCTTTTGCTGATCTATCTCACTTTGAGACCCTTCTGATAGAAGCAGCTGGCTTGACAGAATGGTGGAATGGCCTTTTGAAGGCTCAGTGACATTGCCAGCAAGGTACAATACCCTGCAGGGAAAGGGTGATGTCCTTGGGATGCTGAATATGCTCCATATCAGGCTCCAATTCAAGGTGCTGTTTTTCCCATAGCCAGGATTCAAGGATCCAAGATTCAAAGGCTGCAAGTAGGAGTGGCTCCACTCATCATTCTCTCTAGAGATCCACTAGCAAAGCGTTTGCTTCTTGGCCCTGCAAGCTTGGGTTCTGCTGGTCGAGAGATCTTAGTTCCAAAAGGAGGAATGCTTCCACCATGAGACATAACAGTGATTCCACTGACCTGGAAGCTGAAACTGCCACCCAACCACTTTGGGCTCCTTATGCCTCTGAACCAACAGGCAAAGAAGGACGTGGCTGTGTGGGCTGGGGGGATTATCCTGATTACTAAGGGGAACATGGGTTGCTATGACACAACAGACACAAGGAGGAGTACATCTGGAATGCAGGAGAACACTTGGGGCATCTCTTACTAGTATCACTGAGCCCTGTGATGAAAGTCAATGGAAAACTACCAATTCAGGCAGAACTGCTAGGTTCAGATTTTCAGGAAGAAAGGTTTGAGTTATCCCTCTAGGTAAAGAACCACAACCATCTGAGTGCTTGCTGAGGGCAAAGGGAATATGGAATGGGCAGTGAAACGTGGCATTATAAACACCACCTGTGACCACATGACCAGTCACAGAAGGGATTGCTGCAATTATTATGAGTATTTCTTCCTTATTTTTTTGTAAATGTGCTTGTATATATACCAACAAATATTTTCTTCTTCCCTCTCTTTTACCTTATCATCTAACATAAGGTATCTTAATAACAGTCAGCTTTATACCACAGTGTGTAAGTTACAGGATACTAAAGCAGAAGTGTGATCATCTCCCAAAGACTTGGCATCCTCACGTGGGGAAAGAATTAGCACATTTCAGCTGTGAGCAGAATAATGGTATCATGTTAGATGGAAGGATGACTTGGTTACTATCTTACTTGGAAATTGTTTAAGGTGGTGTGTGTGAGTGCCAAGTTGACAAGGCTGGACTGCAGTGGTTGGCTTTGGGTGTCAACTTGGCTAAACAACAATCCCCAGATATACAAAACACTGATCTAGGTGTCACTGGGAACGTATTTTGTAGACTGATAAAAATCCATAATCTGTTAACTTTAAGTAGGAGAGATTATCCTAGAAGACCTGGGCAGGCCTCATTCAATCTGTTGAAAGGCCTTAAGGGCAGATTTGAGGTTTCCCTGAAGAAGAAACTCTGCCTGTGGCCAGCAGCTTCAGCTCATCCCCGAGGCCCAGACTGTCCTTTCCCATGGCCTGCCCTGTGGATTTTGGCCTTGCCTAATCAGCCCCGACAGCTGGAGAAGCCAATACCTTGAAATGTCCTAACATATATCTCCTATTGGTTTCTGTTTCCTGATTAGACTCTCTGACTGATACAGAGATCAGCAAAACTGTACTTTTCATTTATAAGTTGTCATAGCAATGATGTATCAATTCATTAATTTCTCATTTCATGTCCCTTTTTTAAAAAAAGTTTCATTTATGCATGGGGGTCAAGGTTATAGAGATACATTGATCACTGACAAAGTTTTTACACACACTGTCATTCTTCTATGACTTCTAATAAAAGTATCTACTACATTTCTAAGAATCCCCAGATTATAAAATGAGTCTTTACCAATTTTATAGCACGTGCTATATCAAAGGTTAAAAAATTTAAGTTAAATTAGATCTTAAGTTTCACACAACATGGACGCAAATGATCTGCAAAAGCTTAAACCTTTAGGACCTAAATCGAAATTACAGTCTATAAAGGCATTCTAATTTTAAGTTAATAAAGACTATTTATAAATGCGATTAACATTTCATAATATTAAACTTTACTCACTTAACACCATATCTGTCTCTAAACATAATGTGGTCCCGAAATGTGCGGTTGACATCCAGGTCTATTTGTCTGATGTCAGGTGAACAGCCCCGTGCTCTGTGTTTTAATTTCTGAAGAGAGAAAGAGAGAACAGAACAGATTTTTATGGAAATTAGTTGTTGAAAACTCTATGACAAATAATAATTCTCATTAAAAAGTTTTTGGTTTAAAAAAATCACTCAATGGTTAAAAAAAATCAAAACTATATATACAAAAAGGTACACAATAGAAACTTTCCCTCCCCTCCATTCCCCCATTTCTCCTACTGCCTGCTTCTCCCTCTTCCCCTACCTTCCTTCTCTTCCATCCTGTCTATCTAGTTAATTTTAATTTAGGATAGAGAACTTTTCAGAGTTGGCACTGCTGAACTATGTGAAAGTTCTTCATGGCTGAGCCATGCAGTCTGTTATGATTTCTTGTTTCTTTCCAGGATGATGCTTTTGTTTTCCTTGAAGCTAATCATTGCCTTGTTTCTCAATTTGCTTTGTTTCCCACCTAATTCAATCCTAAGCTCCACTATAAATGGTATAATCTCCTCAGGTGATGTTCCAGTAGAGTAGGTGTTCCACCAGCTTCATCTTGCTGTCTGCTGCTCCTGCCTGTGCGGCCGGACCTCTGGGCCTGTTCCTGCCTGTGCGGCCGGACCTCTGGGCCTGCTCCTGCCTGTACGGCCTGATCTCTGGGCCTTCTCCTGCCTGTGCAGCCTGACCTCTGGGCCTGCTCCTGCCTGTGCGGCCTGACCTCTGGGCCTGCTGCACAGCTCAGGTCTTGGAGCCTCCCTTCTCCACCTGCTGGGGTGGTTTTCTCCCATGCTGGGCCCCCTGTTTCCTGGTCTCCTATCTTTTTTCTCAGGTTCTTCCCTTGCTCTGCAGGAACACACCCTTTAGTAGCTCCTGTGAAAGGCTATATGGAAGATAAAATTTTTGAAACTTTGAATATCTGATCATTCTACCCTCTTATTTAACTATTTGGCTGTTTTAGAATTCTAAGTTGGAAAATATTTTTGCTCAAAAGGCACAGCTTCACCGTCTTCTGGCTTCCAGTGTTGCTATTCTGTTTCTTTATGTGCAATCTGCGTTTTCTCTCTAGAAGCTTGTAGGAGTTTCTCTCTCCATGTATTGAAACTTCACATTTCAGTACTGGGTTTGGATCTATTTTTATCCACAGGGTTGGGTACTTAGTGAATCCTTCCAATCTTAAAAACTCCTACCCAAATCTTTCAGCTCTCAGACATCTTCAACAATTCATTTGTCAACTTCTTCATCTTCCCTTCCTGTAGGGTCCAGCCCCATAGGGTCGGTGAGTTTCTCCCCGTGTGTGGCGACGAGAGAGTGCAGAAATAAAGACACAAGACAAAGAGATAAAAGAAAAGACAGCTGGGCCCAGGGGACCACTACTACCAATGCGCGGAGCCCAGTAGTGGCCCCGAATGTCTGGCTGCACTGTTATTTATTGGATACAAAGCAAAAGGGGCAGGGTAAAGAGTGTGAGTCATCTCCAGTGATAGGTAAGGTCATGTGGGTCACGTGTCAACTGGACAGGGGGCCCTTTCCTGCCTGGCAGCTGAGGCAGAGAGAGAGAGGGAGACAGAGAGACAGCTTACGCCATTATTTCTGCTTATTAGAGACTTTTAGTACTTTCACTAATTGACTACTGCTATCTAGAAGGCAGAGCCAGGTGTACAGGATGGAACATGAAGGCGGACTAGGAGCATGACCACCGAAGCACAGCATCACAGGGAGACGGTTAGGCCTCCGGATAACTGCAGGCGAGCCTGACTAATGTCAGGCCCTCCACAAAAGGTGGAGGAGCAGAGTCTTCTCTAAACTCCCCCGGGGAAAGGGAGACTCCCTTTCCCTCTGCTAAGTAGCCGGTGTTTTCCCTTGACACTTACGCTACTGCTAGACCTCGGTCCGCCTGGCAACGGGCGTCTTCCCAGATGCTGGCGTTACCGCTAGACCAAGGAGCCCTCTGGTGGCCCTGTCCGGGCATAACAGAAGGTTCGCACTCTTGTCTTCTGGTCACTTCTCACTGTGTCCCCTCAGCTCCTATCTCTGTATGGCCTGGTTTTTCCTAGGTTATGATTATAGAGCGAGGATTATTATAATATTGGAATATAGAGTAATTGCTACAAACTAATGATTAATGATATTCATATATAATCATATCTAAGATCTACATCTGGTATAACTATTCTTGTTTTATATTTTATTATACTGGAACAGCTCGTGTCCTCGGTCTCTTGCCTCAGCACCTGGATGGCTTGCCGCCCACACCCTCCCTCCATTCCCATTTTCTTTTTCTGAAACTCTTATTATTACAGTCTGGGAACTCCTAGGCTATCATCTAATTTTCTTGTATTTTTCTGTATTATTTTACATCTCTTTGCTTTTATAACTGACATTCTGGGAATTTCTTCAATTGTCATTTTCAATTAAGTTTTTCATTACTAATATTTGTTATATTCATAAGCTCTGTTGTTTTTGAGTGTTCCTTTTTATAGCATTCTATACTTGTTTTATGGATGCAGTATCTATTTTTCTCTGAAGATATTAAAAATAGTTTTTTAGATTCTCTTCTTTACACTATAATCTGTTTCTTACAAGCTGCTTTCTTCATTTGCTTCCACTTGTCTTTCACGTTAGCTCCCTTCTTCAAATGAACAGCAAAACTTCGTTTTCTGCTTTTGTTTAAAAGTGGGACACAAAAAAGCTGCATGCCTGGGTGAGGCTTCCTGACTGTGATCCTGCTCGTGGAGGCATGTGGCCAAGCAGTTGGACTGGGGTTCCCTGAAGTCAGTACCTTTGGGTTTATTTTCTTATGCTGATCACATCCCCCACAGAACGCTCTTCCAATCTCCTGTCAGGAAGACAAGCACCTGGCTGCTAGTGATCTGGGAGGTGAGTTGAGGAAAAAGGCTGGACTGTCCAAAATTTAAACTACTCAACTCCTCTGCTTTCATGACAGCAGCTCACCCTCAGCAAGGTCTGCGTTTTCCCTAGTCCAGAGGCCCTCTGTTTCATCCTCGCCAAATAACAAACCTCCAGTCTTGGGCTAGCACTGAGGGAGCTAAGGAGCTCTAACTGCTTCTGAAACAGACTTTCAACCACTTCTGTGTTTAGCTTCACCTCCACTTCCAGAGGTTCCTGCAGTTGGCAATTACCAAGCCTTACGGAGATTCTGAGCTACTAATCAGGTTGCTTCTCCAATTCCCACTGCCAGCCTAGGATTTAGCTTCCTCAGGTTTGCTAAGTTTACTAAATGTCTGTCTGCATTCTCATTTTCCAAAACTGGTAGCTGTTAAGCATCTCCCATTTTCTTATTTCTGTGGGTTTGCCTTTTTATAATAAAAACTCTGCTATCAATTTAGTGGCATTTCAAGGGAAAGGGAGCTAAATGAGTATGTTGAATCTCCCATGTTTAAACAGATGGGAGATTAAAATTTAACCATGTTTAATATAAATAAGAATTTATATACATATGTTATATTGACCTATTTACCATGTACTGGTAATACGGACTTCTGCTTGAATCAATTCCAATAAATATACATAAAAACATAACTGTTCCCGACTTCAGCTAAAAGTGGAAAGAAGGTTATCTGGGGATGTCTATTATAAGGCTATCTGGGCATGTCTAGAATAAGGCTATTTGGGCATGTCTAGAATAAGTATGTGTATGTTAAGTGTTTTATGAGTCTGTGTATTTTTGTGTATTGAAGGTCAGAGAAGGGGCTTCTGCAGCTTTTTAAAACAGGAAGAACAGCCACAGTATGTTTCAGAATTCTCAAGACAGAGGAAGACATTTAGAGTATTGTATTAGATTCATATGGCCACTAAAATATTATTGTATATTATTTCTGAAAAAGGTGGTTCAGAAGATATTATAAAAATTTAGCTTGAAAAATAAATCTGTACATATTTGTTCTCTTCCATCTTTTTTTTTTTTTTTTTTTTAAGATAATGGGCAAGGCCGGGCACAGTGGCTCACGCCTGTAATCCCAGCGCTTTGGAAGGGTGAGGTGGGGGGATCACAAGGTCAGGAGATGGAGACCATCTTGGCTAACACGGTGAAACCCCGTCTCTACTAAAAATGTGAAAAAAAATAACCGGGCATGGTGGCGGGCACCTGTAGTCCCAGCTACTCAGGAGGCTGAGGCAGGAGAATGGTGTGAACCCGGGAGGCGGAGCTTGCAGTGAGCCAAGATCGCGCCACTGCACTCCAGCCTGGGCAACAAGAGTGAGACTCAGTCTCAAAAAAAAAAAAAAAAGAAAGAAAAAACAAAAAAGATAATGGGCAAGTAAAGAGGTTTCAACTGTTGTTCTACAGGCTTCCTTGTAAAAGATGAGATGTCAAAACACAGGAAGAAAATGTTTGACAAGACATGATAAAATAAAATGCCTTAAAATAAAAGTTAATAGGAAGGCAGAAAAGACCCAAACGCATCTATAGTATCAGTTCCTCCAGAGGACAAGAAAATCCATCATAAAAAAGGCCTCATGGTGGAAGAAAAGCCCGGGTAAGTATGTAAAAAATAATAGGTCAGAAATATTATTTATGTCCTAAAATGTTTATAAGCTAATGCATGGAATGCAGGAATCAAACATATTTTTTACTCCTGAATGAAAAGAGGTAAACAATTTCTACAGTTACCTTTGAGATTAGGTGGGTTGAGATCCATGAGCGTCACAGTAATATAAAAATAAATACTTTATTTTAAAAAATGGGATCAAATGAACCCATAAACCTGAGGGCAGAAGTACAGTGGAAAGCATTTAGATAAAAAATTGGCATTATTGGCCAGGCACAGTGGCTCACGCCTGTAATCCCAGCACTTTGGGAGGCCAAGGCGGGTGGATCACGAGGTCAGGGAGTTCAAGACTAGCCTGGCCAGCATGGTGAAACCCCATCTCTACTAAAAATAGAAAACTTAGCCGGGCATGGTGGCGGGCACCTGTAATCCCAGCTACTCGGTAGGCTGAAGCAGAGAACTGCTTGAACCTAGGAGGTGGAGGTTGCAGTGAGCCGAGATCACACCACTGCACTCCAGCCTGGGCAACAGAGTGACACTCTGTCTCAAAAAAAAAAAAAAAAAAAAAAAAAATTAGGATTATCATTGTGAGTTTGGCCTACGAGATTACTGAGCCACACTAAGGCTGTGGATGAAGCTGTTTTCCACTATGGTCTGATCCTATACCATCTGTAAGGTACACTGCTAAATGCAAGAGAGAAAAATAAAAATGAGATAACAGAAGAGGAAAACATATTAGATGGGAGCAGCCAAGACAGCTTGGATAGTAAATCCTACCCCTGCCACTTGCTAACCTTGGGGTGAAAAGTCACCTAGCCTCGCTAAGCTCAGTTTCCTCATGTGTAAGATAAATATAATAAGGACAAAACCTGCATCTTGGCATGGTTGCAGGAACTAAATGAGGTAATTCCCATAGAGCACTTAGACATAAAAGTATTCAAACAATGTCAGCTCTCCTCATGGTAAAGTAGGTACTTTATTTTAAAATACGGCAATATGAAGCTTCAAGTTAAAACTAATCAGATCCAAATTGGAGGAGATCAGGGAAGGTCTTTGCAATGTGCTTTGAAATTCAGCAATCTTTTTCCTTCCTGTAGGAAACAAAGTCCCACCAAGACACCTCCTACTCCATGAAGTCTTCCTGAACCATAAAGGTGATTTCTTTTCTTACCCTCTTTTCAACTCCTACTTTTAGAGTATTTATCACAGACTATTATTAAATATTTCTATGCAACCATGTCTCCTCCAACCTAGAAGAAAAGATTCTTGCCACTGTACCTATTCATCTTCATACGTTCTTCAATACCACCCACAGAGCTTTATGGGGACAAGAAAGGACAAACAGGCCACCAGGGGAACTTGAAGGACTGAATGCTGATAATATGCTGGGTCCAAATAATTTCACCCATCTGAGAAAAGTCTCGGCAGATTAAGAGAAGGTTGTAGTTTTAGTCCTACTGAAGTTCCAGTTCGTGGAGGATGTGTGGAGAGAGAGAGAAAGAGTGGATGAGAAAGGAAAAAAAAGTTGGCTAAATAATGATGCTGGGGGAAACTCAAATAGTAAAAATAATATTGATGACAGTGTTGAAAATCATAGGCTTGAAGGTACTGGCAGGCAAGTCATTCTTTTGTTGTAGTTGCTGTCAGATTTTACTAAATGGTTCTCTTGTATTAACTGGCCATCTGATAATTTTATTCTACATAGAAAAAGTCTAAAATATAACTGAAAATTAGAGTACTATTAGCAGGCAAGCTGGGATGAATAGTGTCCCTCCAAAACTCATGTCCACCAAGAACCTGTGACTGTGACCTCATCTGGAAATGGGGCCTCTGCCGGGGTAATCAAGTTAGGATGAGGTCATCCTGGATGAGGGTGGACCCTACATGCAATAACTATTGTCCCTATCAGGAAAGACAGACACACATTCACAGGAGGGAGGATAGCCAGGTGATAAGGAAGACAGGGATGGAGCGATGCCAAAATGCACTAAGGATGGTAGGCCACCACCAGAGGCTGGAGGAGGCCAGGAAGATGCCTCCCTAGAGCCCTGAGAGAAAGTGTTGTCCTGCTGACACCTTAATTTTGGACTTCTGTCCTCAAGAACTGTGTGAGAGAGAGTTCTGTTGTTTTGAGCCGCTTAGTTTGTGGTACTTGGTTACAGCAGCCCTAAATGAATACAGCATGTAAATAAAGTGCTTTTTCTTTCATTTTCTACTTTCATTATTTAAACAAATACTAACAGAGCACCTACCATATGCTAGGCACACTGTACTAGGTGCTGGGGTTATATTTCATATTATGTTCTCTCAGACATCATGTCCTTTGCCAGGACATGGATGGAGTTGGAAGCCATTATCCTCAGCAAACTAACGCAAGAACAGAAAACCAAATAATGCATGTTCTCACTTATAAGTGGGAGCTGAATAATGAGACTATACGGGCACATGATGAGGAACAAAACATAGTGGGGCCTGTCAGCAAGGGGTGGAGGTGGGAGGGAGAGCATCAGGAAGAATAGCCAATGAGTGCTAAGGCTTAATACCTAGGTGATGGGATGATCTATGCAGCAAACCACCATGGCATGGCACACATTTACCTATGTAACAAATCTGCACGTCCTGCACATGTGTACCCCTGAACTTAAAATAAAAGTTGAAGAAAAAAAAAACAGCAATTTTTATTTTTTCCCATTTATTCCACATTAATTTTTTTGTACATATTTTCTAAGGAACATATTTCAAAATCTATGGGTCTAAGATTCTTAGATGTAAATCTCTTACTCCTTTCAAAGGTTAATAGAAAATTTAGGTTCAGAAAGGGTATAGCTACGAGATGACAAGGAGATACATTTAAAGCACCTAATTTAAGAAAAAAATTATTACTCAGTCAAAAGTTTAACTTTTTATTAATAAATAATAAAACCTAGAGATACCCTAATAATCTTGGGGCAAAGTCATCTTTTTTTTCATGCTAGAAGAAAAGAATCATACACAGCAGGTGTTGGTTAAACTGAATTCTGCTGCTGTTTCCCACGAACTCTCAAAGTGATACCACAAATCTCTCCATTAACACCATGTGGCAAACAAGCAGCTATAATTAGGTGTTAGTCCATTTTCCATGCAACCACGTCCTAACATTGATCATCTAATTACTTTAATTGATCATTTATGTATTTGAAAAGCACTTCATACTTATTGATACAGACAATAACATTTTTACTGAAGTATCTATTTAAAATTTAAGAAGTATTTTTGCAATCAAGAAAACAAATAGACCTCCAAAACCTCCAATGCGATAGAATTTTAATATAATTTTAAGTGATCATATGAATATCTTATGTCACCTTGAATGCTAAAAGAAATGGATTTTACTTTTTAATTTCAAAATAACAAGTTAGCTTTAGCTACTCACACTATACAGGTCCCTTGTTTCTTCTTTCATTTTAGGGATCTCAAGAAGGAGGGCCCAGACTTCACCTCTGAGCTGGAGTGGTATTCCTTTGTAAATTCGCCTATGAAACTTATTAAAAGAAAAAGAAACTGAAGGTTACAAACTGAAAAAAACTTAGATTAGTCTCTACAGTTAATCTTGCTAATATTTGTTAGCATTGTATTTTCAAAGCATCTATGGCAATTAATTAATACATTTCAACATGGCACATGGAGGTACTGTCATCTCTATTTTTAAGATTCTAACAGGGAGATACAGACAAAGAAGGAGAGAGTATAACAAGAAATTGTTAAGAATGCCCAATGCATTAGCATGTTCAGGCCATTACGGAAGTGTCCCTTAAGTGGCACAAAAGCAGTCAGTGCTCTTTTTAAAGGTGTGAACATCTGATTTACACATTCCCTGATGGTATAATTAACTTCTTACACACTTTCTGCCTTTTATCCCACACACCTAAAAGATGCTCCAAACAGCAAAAAGGTTGCCTTGTCCCCAAAATATCCTCATGGATTGTAGAGTGCTGACTCCTAATCTCTTTCCTGCCACCTTCTCACTGGTCTCTCAGAAGATACCAAGCTTCTCCTCATCTATCTGAAAACTCCAGTTAATCCTACTGGCCATCTTCAGTGTTCTCTCTTTCTCACTCTCATTTCCCCTCCCCTGCCCTTTCTCCTTCTTTTCTCTCCTCTTTTCAGTTCTTGCTATTTCTTCAGGAAAACTTTTTTCTTTTTCTTAAATGACATTGATGCTATCTGATAAGACAAAAACAACGATAAATCTTCATCAAGGGAAGACATCACTTTTGAATGAAATTAGGCATGAAACATTGGTATCATCAGCTGGGCGCAGTGGCTCACGCCTGTAATCCCAGCACTTTGGGAGGCCGAGGTGAGCAGATCACAAGGTCAGGAGATGGAGACCATCCTGGCTAACACAGTGAAACCCCGTCTCTACTAAAACTACAAAAAAATTAGCCGGGCATGGTGGTGGGTGCCTGTAGTCCCAGCTACTCGGGAGGCTGAGGCAGGAGAATGGCGTGAACCCGGGAGGCAGAGCTTGCAGTGAGCCGAGATTGCGCCACTGCACTCCAGCCTGGGCAACAGAGTGAGACTCCATCTCAAAAAAAAAAAAAAAAGAAACATTTGTGTCATCAACTCCCTCCATCCTTGAAAGTGTACTGCTATTGCCCTAAGAATCTTAAGTTCAATACACCTCTCCGTCTTCTTGTAATTAATTTTTTCCTCAAGTCTAATTACTCAAAATAACATAAAACCTATTACGGTCATCACAATGTTGTGCCTAACACTTTGAAACTTAAAAATAAATGTCCAAACAGGGAAATAATTAAATAAATTATAGCAGAAGCCCTTCAGGTAAGAACTAGTACTCTTATTATCATCGTAATATACTTGAATGTTATGGTTCAGAAAATAAGATGCCAGTTCTAATAATTGAAATATTGAAGAGCTACAATAAGTAGTACACAAGGCTTTAACTATTACACTACTGAGACTTTTTTAAACTAAAGCTTTAGTGACTAAGTCATAAAGCAGCTTTAAGAAACTTCGATCATGTGGTTGAAGGTGAGTGACAAAGATGAACAACTTTTATTATAAAACAGTGAATACTGTAAGGTTGATTCAAATAATGACTTACAAAATTTGTTTTGTTCTTTTGGTATAAATATAGTATGCCTCAAATTTGAAATTTCAGTAGATAGTGACTACAGTCATAGAAATTTTAATCCCATGCGATCACTTTAACTGGAGGAATATGTACAGAAAGGCTTCATGTTGACCATAAAACTAGACTCGCAACATTTGCCACATGCTCGACAAGCATGTGTGGTTAAAAACAAGTGAATTTAAGACTTGTTTTCCCAAAGGAAGTTATGATCTATACCACTTCACAATTATAGTAAACTGTGATTTTAAAGTAATATCATCCACAAAAAGTCACTTCAAATTATCTTCTAAATTTCTAGAGTAAAGATGTCGTACTGCAGGCAACTGATTTGAATAACAGAAAGTGTAGAAATCACTGCAAATGCTAAAAGTAAAATTTTAATAGGAACGTGTAATATGACTGACTTCAGTGGACCCGAACAAGTAAAATAATGACATTTTTAATGAGTAACATAAGCGCTCTGACACTTATTTCTTAAGCTATATTACTTGAAAAGTCTTCAGATATTATTTTGTTGCTGTTGCTCAATTCTGTACTCAATAATTGTACATAAGTTACTGTACATCATTTATCTTAAAGTTAAATCTACATTTAGGGAAAAAAACTCCATCAAATGGCTGTGATTACATTAAAAAGTAGGAAATCTGGGGGTGGAAATAAAAAATTAATGGTCCCCATACTAGTACAGAGCTAAAATTAAAAATCAGGTACATATGGGAAAGCTTAAGAAACATTGATACAGTGTCACTATCATCATCCATGGCAACAATTAATCCAAATTACTGAGCATTTACCATGCACAAGAAACTATTTTAAGCAACTATTTAACAACTATTAGAAACTACTTAGCAACTATTTAAATAAGAAACTATTTAGTTAATCTGTTTTATTTTATCCCTTCCCTTTAAGCTATTTATGGATATTTACCTCATTTAATTATACTAACAATTCTATAACTTTAATTATACCAACAACTCAATTTTACCAACGTAGAACGTGAATCACAAAGAGGTTAAATAACTTGCCCAAAAGCAAGCACAAGATGTTATAAAAGATGACTGATTTTACAGTTTGTAAAAAACAATGACCACGGCCCATGGTTTTGCCCAGCTGGACTTACTAAAATACATGGAATAGCGAACAGGAAAGTATCAAGAAAGCCCAAGAGCAGAAAACACTAAAATAATGATAATATAATTACACCAAAAACTTAAAAGGAATATAAAAACGATGTCTTTGGAATCCAAGCAGTAGGAGGTGACAAAACAAAACATGAACACAAAATCACATATAGCAGAAAAAGAATTAAATTATAAGACCCTAAAATAAAAATTTTCTAATTATGCTGTTTTTCAAATACTTGTACTGTTACATGACAGACTAACTTATTACAGTTACATATCTTTCTTCACAAATTTTTAACTATCATAGAAGTTTTACAAACTCTATAAAACAAAGTGGGAATTACCTCCAAACACAACAGTTTGGATGAAATTTGCTTATTCCCCAGAACAGTAGTCCAGTTTACAGTTGTTGATAATCCTTCAACTGGCAAAGTGGCATTTCATCTTTTCTACATCAGCCCCATAATGTAGGTTCAGCGGGTGGTTTCCACTTAAAATGTAAGTAAAACAAGATACAGAAGAAAAGTATCTGCCCTAGGTCAAAAAGTTCTACCTTCTTATTACAAATTCGGGGACTTTCTGCCAAATCACACTGTCTTCTAAAAATTACCGCTTTATTAAAGTGGCAGAATTTATCAGTAAAAAGTGATAGCTGGTTGTCCTCAACTCATAAACGAACATCATTCATTCATTCTAAAATGATAACTTGTAATGAATGCCCGCTTTGTGGCCAACGCTTATGAGGTTCTGTGGCTACAAACATGAAAAAGATCTGTGGAGCTCACAGCGTACTGGGAAGAGAAATACGTAAGCTGATAATTATAACTTAAACAGAGAATCCTTTATCATAAAACACAGTCACATACATGAGCTGCTAACAGTGCTGAGCACCATGCCCTGACAGGGGAGGTGCTGGTAGAGACAGACTCCCCAGTGAGCCAGAGTGGTAAAAGAAGGATGGTGGGCACCACACTGTCGAGATCTGTGAGAGAAGCTATCAGGGAGTGGCTAGCCCTTCTACAAAAAGATACATACAATTCTAAGAGAGAACTAGAAAAGGGTTAGGGACAAAGTTGCTGGGGTGAGCGCCATGCATCTGCTGTGATGGTCACTTCTTATGGGTCCAACACAGGGACTGTCATCCTGAGCTTATCTTAGAGATAACAGAAGAAAGGAGGAACTAATCCTGTGTGAGAGATGGAAAGGAGTTCCTTTAGAGAAAATGACAATAAACTCAATACTGAATAGGAATGTGCCAGGAAGGGAAAAGTGGGGGTGGGAGCAAGGATGTGGATAATGATGAGTCCAACAGTAATAATGACAATTGTTAAAGAACACTTTCTGATTATTTATTATGAGCTGACACTATGCTATGTGTTTCTAAATTAATTCATTCATTGTAATATTACTGCATCCCTAAAAAGGTAGGTACTATTATTAACATATCCATTTCACAAATGAAAAAATTAGGACATAGAAAGGTTAGGTAACTAGCTCAAAAGAAACTGTGTTATAAGAACTCAAATTCAGTCTGAGTCTGACTTCAGAATCCATACTCTTAACAACCATGATAAAGAACTTCTACATATTGAATTGTAACATTTCAGTATTCCAATTTGAAAAGTATCACCTTTAAGATTCTTCTACAAATTTGTTTCATAGATATGATACATAAAATCTTTAAAAAGTCTACAGTAGTCCCACAGAAACATTTAAAAATCTATGGACTTAAAAAAAAAATTCCAACAAATGACTAATGTTTTCAGTACCTTTTTCTAAACCTTGGTGATTAAAACAGTGACAAGTGTGCAATCCACATCATTATGACTGCCAGTGAGTAAACTTTTCAGCCCAGCAAGCCTGGCTGAGTTTTGTGCGAGTGTGCGCCATGAAACAGAGGCTCACTCGAGCTGCTTATGCCTTTCACTGCCTCTCCATTTTCTCTCATCATCCCTGCTCCACTGGCTCCTTTGTTTCTGCCTTCAAACAGCAACAGGTCTCCCAAATCTGCATCTAAAAAAGTTTTAAACCATCCACAAGGCCCTACTGTGTTTTATAACTACATTCTACTTCCCTGACAGACACCAAAAGGGAAAGCTGGCATAAAAGATGGTACAGTTAAATGAGCTCTAAGTCTGGACATTCTTTTGCTTGTTGCTAACAAGCTGTGTGACCTTAAGAAATTTATTTCTAGGCAATATGCCTCCATTTTCCAGTCAGTTAAAAAAAAATGGTTAATATGGTCTGAAAGGTCCATTCAATTATTTGACCAACAAAAAAATATGTGTATTTGTAGAAGGCACTTTGCTGTGACATAGCTTAGACACAAGTATATCATGACCAGTTAAATCATAATGGTCTCCACTTAACAGAGATAACTTCACTTCATAGACTATATTTTTAAAATACAGGCTGGGCACAGTGGCTCATGCCTGTAATCCCAATGCTTTTGGAGGCTGAGGCAGGAGAATCATTTGACACCAGGAATTCGAGACCAGCCTGGGCAACATAGCAAGACCCTATCTCTAGAAAAATAAAATTTTTTTTTTAATTAGCAGGCATGGTGGTGCTTGCCTACAGTCCCAGCTACTTGGGAAGCTGAGGCAGGACAATCACTTAAGCCCAGGAGTTGCAGGCTGCAGAGAACTATAATTGCGCAACTGCACCCCAGCCTGGGCAACAGAGACCGTGTCTCTCAAAAAAAAACAAAAAAATTTACAATACTACTGTACATAGGGAGGCAGTCACTGTGAGAACAGAGGCAACACAAACAACCTTAACAGAATTTTTTTTTTTTTTTCATTAAAGCTTGGGTTCTAAAAATCCAAATATTCCCTACCAGGGCTATATTTTTATTTCAAATATTTTTAGAATTTCTCTGTATTACTACTATATAAGTAAGGAATCTGTGGAGAGAAAACATACTTCTCCTTGAAAGACAAGAAAAAAAATGCTAGTTTTTTTACTTGAATGCAATTTAAAACTAGGTGTGAATTGAAAGCAGTAATTCTTTTAGAAGGTTCATTCTGTTTCACACCAAATTGGGCCACATATATCATCAAATGATTCTAGCATTATAGTTATCGGAGAGTGCTTCAAAATTATACTTCAAAGACATGGCACTGCTAAAATCTCACTAAATGGGAACTGCATTAGCCAGAGTTGCTGTCAGAATAATAGCCCAGTAGAATTGTTCGTTTTTAGAGAGGCTTACGTACTTTCATAGGCATATGTAGACCACAGAATAACAAAATATTCATTCTACAAATATTTTATTAGAATGAATGTGAGATTAAAGGATAGGTGCAATGCATTGAAATCTACCCTGTAATTACCACTTGAGCAATCTTTCCACAAAGATGTAAAGTAGTTGTCAAATGTAGGCCAATCTGAGACTGCATAATATTAAACAAGAGAACAGATGTTGTAACTAATATTCTACTTTGAAGTGTGTCCTCTTAAAAACATCCTGAGTTCTAAACCTAATGCTAAAACAGACAGTTAATAAAATCAACCACCCCAAATGAACTCACCCCTGATGAAAACAAAGTAATATAAGAGCCTAAGGATATTTAGTATGCTCAAAAAGAAAAGGCTCATTAGCTCTGTAAGATACCCATGTCAAAAAGATTCCCATGGTTAAGTCGGTTTCATGTGATTTAAGATCCCTCTTAAAAATTCATACCTCATATTAAAGACTAAATAATCCTACAGTAAAGAAAGAAATCTTGCTTAATTTTTTTTTAGTTCAGGTTTTCCCAACTTTATTTAACCAGAGAGCCCTTTCCTCATTTAATAATAAGCAACACATACTGACTGCATACTAAACGCCTGGCACTATTCTATGCTTTACATCAACTAACTTATTTAATCCTCACAACAAGCCTAATGGGGTAGGTAGTACAGCAGAAAAAAGTTAAATGCCTTTCCCAAGGTCATATGGCTAGGAAGTGGCAGAGCTGGGGTTTGACCCATGATAGTCTGCCTCTAGAATCTGCCTCTTCACCATCAGGCTATACTACTGCTTCTGTGGAACTAGTAGAACCCAAGAAACTCATGCTCCCTGGAATTCTCATCAGCAAATGTTGACATAAGATAATCTGTATCTATACAAAAAGGGAAAAGAAAGGATTATACTGAAAAAAGTGTGAGGAATGGACAAAAATCCCAACAGTTAACTCAGTTGTGTTTTGCTAGTAGGACTAAGTTAGATTTCCTTTTTTTCCTTTAAAATGTTTTTATTGTTCAGCCTTCCTTCAAGAAATTAATAGGGGTAGTTAACATTTACTGAATGCTTGTTCTATGTAAGGTACAATGCTAAGTGCTTTACATGCATTAAATCATGAAATCTTCATCCCTTTGAAATGGGACACTATTATCTCCATTCTGCAGATGAGGAAACTGAGGCTTAGACATCAGTGGTTCTCAAAATATGGCCCATGAAACCAAAACGATTTTCATAATAAAACTATTTCTTTTTACAGTGCTGACTTTTGCACCGATCATAAAAAAGCTATAGTGAAACTTTTGCACTGATGATAGAAAAGCTATGGTGGTAAAACTACCGGCTCTTGGAACTAATCAAGGCAGCAGTAGTGCTGTACTGTGGAATTAGTGATTCCTCACTCTGTGTTTTAAAAAGTCAGTTTAACTTAAGAATGCCCTCGATGAAGCAGTAAAAAGTGTTAACTTGATTAAATATCAACCCTTGACAGAGGTCTTATTAACGTAACGAGCAGTGACGAGACGGGAAGTGCATACGGAGCTCTGTGCTGCACAACCAAGTGCAATGACTGTGTCAAGAAAAAGTGCTTAGGATGAAATTCTTTGAATCATGAACATTTTCACAAACCACTGTTATTACTTGAAAGAATAAGCAACTGCCACTCAAGCACTGGGTATCTGGCAGACATTATCTCAAAAATATCTTAAATGAGCCTGTCACTTGAAGGAAGATAACTGACACAGTATTTATTGCCACTGATGATATTTGACCTTTCAAATAAAACTTAACAGCTTTGGAAAACTTCTACCACCAGGAGCTTGACATCTTCTCACTGTTTAAAGACTTTTCTGATGAGACGCATGGTGATATTAATATATGTATGTATTTTTCTCTAACTAACTTAGCACAAACTCAACGCAAGGCAAAAACATTAAAGGGGAGGTTTGCTAGAAGCTTTTGAAAAAGGAGATTGCTCCTGCTTGAGGGAATGCTTTCAGAGGCCAGCCCTCTCTCTTTCTGAGCAGTATGATCTGTGGATACAAAGCCTGGAACTGCTCCAGTGATTCTGACCTCAAAGGGAAGCCAACCTCAAGATGGGGCTGACAGTGCAGAAGGCAGAGAAGAGATGGAAGAAACTATGGCACAGGCAACTTCATTAAGCAGCTGAATTAAATCACTCCTGAAACCCATCCCACCTCTGAACCATTCAATACAGACTTAAATGTCGAAACCAATCCGAATCGGGTATTACGTTACTTACAATATAAAAACTCCTAATTCGAGGCATACTGCTAAATTAAACCAAAATTTCAAAACCAAATATGAATGTAACACTCTTATAATTAAAGAAGAACTTCTACTATGAAAATCCACATTGAGTTTATATAGTTTCATATGGAAAAACATGATTTTAAATTACCTTTTCAGTGTTCTTGTATTTTTCCCATCCTTTCAGCATTTTCAGCCATTTGGTAGTTCTTTCAATTTCCAGGTGCTTTTGCTAAAATAAAATTGAAATTCATTGTTATTGTTGTTCGTTTCTTTACTTATGAGTTATAAAAAACTTCAAAGAAAATGCTTCTAAAAAAGGAACTAAAAAAGTTATGCTATATTAGCAGATATCCTAACTTGTAAAAAGTTGGATAATATCAGAACTGTATCAATACTAGTCCATAGCTAAAGTTAAGATTAATAGGAAATGCTCTCTCTAGGTAAAAAGATATTATTTAAATTTTCCAAGACTTGAAAAGTAACCAAAATATTGTGTATTCTACAAATTTAAACAAAATTTTAAAAAATATTTTGAAATATTTTACAAAGCAACAAAAACACTACTTTGAAATTTAATTCTCTTCTTTCTTATTTTACTGAATTCTAGTATATTGTTGTTTTTAGCGAGAGTTTTTTAAAGGAAAAGTGGCTGTTTATTTATTTAATGGAAAGATTAATGTGTAAGTAGCCTTATGCTAGAGGGAAACTATTAAAAAAAATAAAACTAAGTACTAGTTGCTGCCCTAAAGAAATTTGACCAGGTGCTAAGGACAATGGACAAGGAACACACTGCGTTGTGGCAGGCACTGGCACAGGCAGGAAGGGCCACGGCAGAAGGGGCAGTCAAATCCACCTAGGCATGCCAGAGAAAATGATCCCAAAATGAGGAACAGAGAGATTATTAGGGTTTGTTTTTTTTTAATCAAATGCAATGTGGGAAAGAATGTTCCAGGCAGCCTTGAGAATGCATGTATTTCTGAGACAGCAGGGGCCGACAGCAGCTCCAAAGGGTTTACAAAAAAGCATCAGGACACCAGGCTGCCAAAGTTGGGAGAAGTCTCTTGCGTGCCCACTCAAGTGAAATTCAGGGGCAAGGCTGCGGAATGGGGAAAGTGAGACGGAAAATGCTCGCTCTTCACTTGTTTGGTTTCCAGGAGAAGGAATATTTTTTCCTAAGTACCTGGGCCCATGAGTAGTAAGTATATGAATAAAAAGCAATGAAAATACAAGTCTACTCAGAAAAGAAAATCATTCTGAGGATACATTTTATACTCAAGGATGCATGCTCACTGCAACCCCACGAGGTAGGTATGATTGTCACCATTTTACAATGAGGAAACAGGCACAAAGGGCTTAAGGGACTTGTCCCAAGTCACCCCTCTCATAAGTGGTAGAAGACGGATTCAAAGCCAGGCAAGCCTGGCTCCAGGACGTACACTCTGAGCCACCACATCTCTGGCTCCCATCCTGTCCTCTGCCCTAGTTCAGGCAATCATCATTCCTGGATGGAAGCAGCAGCTCCTTACTGACTGTCTGCAATCCAGCCTCAAACAGGCAGACATTATGCTGGCAGATGGCATATATGCCTCACCACCACTATTTTTAGACCTAAAAGTACATAAAATTCCAAAGAAAATCCTGAATTTAGGAAAAGTTATCTCACCAATGAGAATATTTTTATAGAATTTCAATTTTAGGCATATTCTTAAAACTCTCAATTACCTAACTCTTTTTAAAATTTTTGATGGGTTTCTCACAATAAAAGATGAGCACTCATGAGAAAAAGATATTCTTTTATAATTCGTATTTTTCAAAAGGCTAAGTATATTTTCCTCATTATATTATTAGTGATAAACTGTTGCAGATGGTTCCAGAAATATGTTTAATTTTAAAACTCAGTGGGGCACTGAAATCTAATTAATGTTTCTGCTAAATGTGACTTTAGAGAAGGCCAAGCTGTGAAAAATTAAGATTGATCTAAATTGCCATTTGGTATTTTTTGTTCTTCTGCACTTTCTCCCCTGACTTCTTCAAAGCATAATCCTTTTTTCCACCAACAGGAAAACACCAAATAATTCAAGCCAACCCAAGAGTATAACAACATACACTTTGCCAGGAACAACCCTGCTGAGATCTAGCAGGTCTCTTGCTATCTTTCATTTTTATGACCATGAATTATCAATGAATCACTTTAGGAAGCAGTCATTTTTTTAAAAGCACACTTTTGAATTCTAATGCTTATCATATATACAGATTATTTTAAATGCTATACATTCCCACGCTGCAAGAACAAAACACACACATACACATACAAAAAAAATTAAGGATCATTAAGTATGCTTTTCCCTACAGCAAAAAATAAAATAAAATAATATATATTATACACACACACACACACACACACCCCTTGGGAAGCTATAGGATCCGAAAATTATGTATCAGTATTCAATCAAGTTTAAGTGCTAACTCCATAATGCTGTCCATTCAACAATACCAAACTTGAATGCACATGAAAGTCTCTTTCCCCCAATCATGAATCTATAATTCATAGATGAAATATACTTTCTCACCAAAGATGCCGAAGCTAACTATTCCAGCAACTGTTTTGAAGAAGTAACTGAAAACATATTCATATGTGACAAATGTGAACTTAAGTGCCCCCAAAAAATAAGCTAGGGAATGTCATCTTGCCATAGACTCAACCACAATAAGACAAAACTGGAATATAATAGTGTATTAGAAACTCCACTTAAAGTTCAACAGAGACTTTAAAGTCGACATATCCGAAACTATTTTCCCAAACATGCTGCTAGTACCCTTCTGTCCCTGACATGAATTAACAGCATCACTACCCACTAAGCCCTCCTTCTCTCTCACTTCCCAGCCCCAAACCACACTCTGCTGGGTCCATGTTCTGTCTCCTGCTTCCATCCTGTCCTCTTCCCCAGTTCAGGTAATCAGAGTTCCTAGATGAAAACAGAAGCTCCCTGCTGGGATCCTTGTCTTCACTCCAGCCTCCACACTGCTACCACAACCCTTCACACATGTCCCAGTTTATAATCCTTCAATGGCTACCCATTTTCTAGAAGTAAAGTTCAAATTTCTTAGCACAGCACACATGAGCAGCCTTTCAGAATGTGGCCCCAATTCACCTTCCAGTTCTACCTCCTGCTACTTCTGTGATCTGGCCACCATGAACTATTTGTCATTCCCATACACAATGCATTTTCAGCCTTTATGACAAATGTTTCCTATTTGTCTGCCTGTCATGTTTTCTCACCATCATTTGGTAAAATCCTATGCATCCTCTCAAGACCTAGGTCAAATGTCCAACGCCTGGAACCTTTCCCAGATCGCTCCATGTTCCAAGCAAAACCAACTGTTCCCTTAGCATTCCATGGCATGGATTCAAGACCCAGATGACCTGGGTTCAAATCTGAGTTCTGTCCCATACTGTTTCATTTGGGGCAAACTACCTAATCTTTCTGTACCTTAATTGTCTCATCTATAAAACGAGAATTATTTTGATCATTGTTACAGCACCTAACACCTGTGTTCTAGTTGGCCTAAATGCCCAAATTGTATTATCAAAGTATGAACTCCTTGACTACAGAGACTGGATATGTTCATGTTTTTATCACCTAAAACAGTGGTTGTTATATAAGAAAAGTTAAACATTTAAAAATTAAACAGAATTTACATAAGAAAAAACAACTGAACCCTATGAAGGAATTAATAACATTCTGTGGTCTCAAGGTGGAGGGGTGGGAAGTAGAATGAATATGAACAGATAGACTGAAACCAGAATGTTATTTCTGATAGCAATGTGATCACTGTAATACAGAAGTAACCAGAAGTTAATAATATCCCGTATGTGGCAGAATGGTAGAAATGGAATTATTCCATCATGCGGGTAACACTTTTCAAAGTGTTGCCAAAAGGCAGAGCTGCTGATGTTAACAGCCTATATGAAACTGATATTAAATAATTCTGTTGGCTTCATACACAAACATCTTAGTTCTCTCAATTTGTATTTTGAAATATTTCAAACCTACAGAAAAGTTGAGAGAATAGTATGTCACATACTTATAAATGCTTCATGAGACCCACAGATTATTAACCTTTTGCTAGATTTCATTTATACTATTTAGGTTTTTAGGGGGAACTGATCATTAGACAATCACGACATGAATAGTTCATCCCTAAATATTTCAAGTACGTATCGCCTAAGAATGAAAACACATTATCCTACATGATTACAGTACCATTATATCCAAGAAATTTAAAACTGGTTATTACCTCATAAGCAGCCTATATACCAAATTCCCCACTTGCCCCAAGACTGTTCTTTATAGCTGGTTTTTTCTGTGGTGTGGGCAACTCGGAATCCAATCATGCATTCGGCATTGCCTTTGCTGGCAGGTCCCCAAAGTGCCTTGGCCTTTGTCTCTGATGACACTGATGTTTTGAAAAGTCAAGGCCACACTATCTGGCTTTGTGTGATTGGCTCCTCTGGATTTCAGCAGGATTATCACCCCATTATGTTGTCTTTCCCAGCACATCACATCAGATGCACACGATGCCAAGCTGTACCACTTCTAGCGATGATGCTACAGTTTCATCATTCAGTAAAGGTTAGTATTTGCCCAATTTTTCCATTAATAGAGAAATTCCCTTTTGTAACTAATGAATAATCCACGTGATATACTTTGAGACAGGGCGCATATCATGTTCCTTAACAACTCTACCCAATGGTCTCATCATCCGTTGATGATTCCTACCTGAATCAATTATGGGGCGCATATCATGTTCCTTAACAACTCTACCCAATGGTCTCATCATCCACTGATGATCCCTACCTGAATCAATTATGACTGTGATGGTGGTAAAATGGTGTTTGGGTTTTTTTTTCTATCATTCCTTCTATATTATGAAATGACATTATTAACTTTGGACTTTAAAAAGTTTTTCTTTTCTAGCTCCTCCCCTTTCAATATCACTATAATCTAAAGAATTATTTGATTCCATGATTATAATCCATTATCATCATTATTCTTTTTGAACCTCAAACTGTCCCCTAGGAGGTGGCTTAGACTACTTCCCGTCTGAGTGGCAATGTCTCCCCTTCAAATTTGTCCTTTTGATATGCCCTATTTGTCTTTTACCATTTCTTAGTGTTCTGGTACAAAATGATTTTGGCCCACCTTATACTCTCCCTATCCCAACCTGCAGTCAGCCATCAGTTCAAGAACCTGTGATTCCCTGTAGTGGAGAAGATGTTCAAAACTAAATTTTGGGCACTGGATGTGCTTCTCACCAATGAAATTTTTATAATTGTATAGAAGACTCTGACATAAGAAAATTCTACTTCTCTCAGAATGTCAGAGCAACATACAGTCAAGGAAAATAATGCAAAGGCCATCATCTCCACCTCTACTCCCTCTGCTATCTCTCCATTACCTCTACTAGCTAAGAAAATGCTACACTGCTGTATACTTTTCTTCCCATGAGCTGTTTTCAGGGAAGGGCTAAACTTCTGTTTAAAGTTTATGATATAATACCCTATTGTCTTAAGTTGATCTTGCCTCTAAGTCAGAACTGGCCTCTCCTACTGGGGCAAAGAAGGTCGAAGGATTAAAACTGGAACCAATATCTTCTTTGTTACCTCTCAACCTCCAGTGATCTGAGACTACGTTTTCAACCCTGTACAGGACCAGCTGAATAGTAAGTATTCAATAATCATTTGTTGAATCATCTACATAGCTTTGTCTTCTATCTGGTCCAAGGCCCTTCCCACTATTAACATGGCTAATAATTCAGATAGTAAAGGCTAGACACGTACACAATGCATGGATGGATATTACATAGCCTTCTCTTGTAGAATAAGAAATCTTGGGATTTGCTCAGATTCAAGTCTTCAGATGCTTTAATGGCTCTATTTGAACATTACTGCGTATTGTGATATAATGAGAACTATATGATCTCTGCCCCCAGTTCCCTCCTGGAGGTTGTGGGAACCTCTAATTTATAGCCCTTCACAGGTGATAACCTAAGACTTTCAACTGGCTTCTGACGTGAGAGGCAATCTTATGGAAGTGAGCTCTTAACCTGTGAGGTCTGCACCTACTCTGGTTAGTGTCAGAATTGAGTTAAATTGTAGAGTTAAATTTGGGGTCCACTTGGGGAAAAACCGACACATATCTTGGTAACCGGAAGTATTCTGTGCTGTGTCAAGTATGAGAGGAGGAAAAACAGTTTGGTTTTTCCCTATCTTAACAGTTTGTTTTTCGTTTCAGTTAGGACTCATGAGTGAGGACAAAGTTGATGGGAGTCAGGCATGCCTAGACCTCACCAGCAGAGGTCAGAAGAAGACAAGAAGTACAAAAAGAAACGTGTCTTTTTACAGAACACCCTGACATTGGAAAGTCTATCAGTCATGTATCTTGAATAAGATTTCATACTACATTAAATTAAGATTTTTTTGATATAAATAGGTTCCAATATCCTATACACCATGCAAAAGATTGCACTACATGAAGGGATAGCTGAATCTATGAAAATTCATAGTTTTACATATCTATTCTTCCTTATTAAAATCATCAATAAACTCAAAGAAACAATATAATCCATTATTAATACAGTTCTCTACAGAGTAAATATAATGTTTGTTTATGTGCTTAAGTGCCTGTTTGGGGGAAACCAAAGCACTTAGTAAACACCAATACTAATCCTCTTAGGAAGGACTGTATACCACTCTCCCTATTTTAAACAGAGAACTGCCTTATGTAAAATAATACATTGGCAAAGCTGGAAGGAAAGCTGTGATTACCCGACTATGCACTAGTGTACAAGTCTTCCCCAATGGAAATAAGAGCATGCTTCAAGTGTATGCTCTATAAAGACTGCAGACCAGCAAGGCTATCATTTCTAGACTTTATTCCATTTTAAAAATGTAAACTTTTTTTAATTCATTTCCTGGAAATGGTAAAACTTGGCTACTAGGACTAGGCAGTCACCACAGAACACAAGAACTTAACTCAAACCTGAAGAACTTGGGGGAAATCCTGATAAACTAAGAGGCTTCCAGCCTTAGGCTGTTTTGCATGTGGCTAAGTTCTCATTCCACTTTAAAGAAACCAAAACTGTAAAAGGCAAGTCATGCAATATGAGTGCAGTTTCCGTAAAAAAGGCCTTAGGGAAACCCAATCAACAGCCTCTGAATCCTGTCCCCACCCCCAAATAAAAGACAAGTGAATATAAAGTTATATCTTATTTTAAAATAAATTACTAAGGTACGCATAGATCATTTTTTAGTGATTCCCCATTAAATTAAACTTTCTGGAGAAAACAATCAATTAATTATAAGCCTAACTGCATTAAGAGGTCATTTACTATATAGGCACATCTCTTAAAAAACTAATAAAAAATTTTGAAAAACAATATTCCTCAAGCATGCATCCTCCTGTGTCTGATATTTCTTCTTTTCTTCACCTCCCCATTTATTGAATCATTTAAATCACCGGTCTGAAGACTTTCAAACTTTCTGGATCAGGAAATTACAAAAGGGGGAGGGGAATGTTGGAGAGAGAAGTCAATACTGGACTGCCAGATTTTTATTTTGCCAAATGTGGATATCTTTTGTTAAAGATATCTTCCAACTCTTTCTGATTTCTCAAATAAAAGACACTGTAACACTTGAAGGGACAATCTCTGCCAGTCTTTATGTCAATATATTTAGTTTTACAAAGAATCCATTACATTAATTCAGCCCAAAAGAGAGATCATAGTCAGAGTGTGAGAACAAATCCTTACATTCCCATTCAAGGTGGACTGCCACAAACTTCACAGGGGCATTTACCAACTTCTCACTATTACTCATTATTTCCTTCTCAGTCATTCCTCAGCTACAAAGAATCTGCCTTTCCCCTCCACCTGCACTACCACTGCATTTCACATATACTATGGCCCCACCAAGCCACCAGTCGTCTCCTACCTGTAGTCACTGGATGTGAGCTTCTCCAAGGCAGAAACTATGTCTTATTTAATCCTAGCATTCTATGCAGAACTAGGCCAGTGCTTGATACATAGTTGCTATTCAATTATGTAGATATTAAAACAAAGGTATTCATTTGCTGAAACCTCTAGGTTATGATACTGAGAGAGAACCAGACAGTCACAAGAGAATTCAACTGCAGGTCTGCCTATAGGGTTCTCTATATACATAAAATGGCAATTTCATCTACATCTTAAGGTTTTGCTACAGTTTTGATTTTCAGAAAAGTTTGATCCCAGGAAGATTTTCTAAAATATTTTTCAAATTCCAATTCCAATTTCACCTTCATTACCTGAAATTCAGCCCCTTGTCCTCATCAAACATACATGAACTGATAATAATCCCAGTCAATACCCCCACTTTCATTCTACAGTTCATTTTCTGGTACAGAAACAGTGGGGAGGAAAAGGGAGATTTCGGACAACCTTAAAACATTCCGTCACTACTTCAAACGCATGCCTGGGTGTGGAGCCAGTTCCTTGCTATGTATAACGAGGAAAGATTTTTAAATGTTGACAAGTTTACTATGTAACACTTCTCTAAGTACTTAAAATACTAAAATACTGACCCACAGAAAACGATTTTGGTTGTTGTAAGAAATTTACTAAAATCTCCTGGAACAGTCACATTTCAAAGAACTGCTGGTCTTAGAATGGTGCTTTATTTGCCACAGGGTACATGAGAATCACTTGTGAAGCCTTTAAAAATTACCTACCCAGAGAGGCTGATTTCACAGACTGAGGTGGGAGCTGGGCAGCTGTGCTCTCAAAGCCTCTCTGTTCTGAAGCACGCCTAGCTCAGGACCTGCCAGTCTAGAATGAAGTCTGCCAACTACCTATCAGAATCTCCTAAAATCTCCTAATATTATTTCACCATTAACTATTATCTTACAGTGGCATAATGAGGTCCAAAATCTAACAATGACTGTACCATTCCCATATAATATGGCACTTAAAATCACAAAGGTGGTCAATTTTATTCTTCTAATAAAGGCAATTCACCAGTAACTGTAAATACATCAAGAGCAGGACTTACCCGTTCCACAGCCACATTATGATCTGGGAGCTCCTCCTCACTGCAGAGGAAAAACAGTATTATATGAAATTGTTGAAATCAAAACAAACTTTTAAAAGCTTATATACTTATAGATACATATGACATACAATATTTATTTGTCATCACAAGAGTTACATAGGCTTCCATTCATTGAATTCAATATGAAATGATAGCTACTCTAGAACCACAGGGCCACCTATCTTCAAAATCCAGCCCTGCACTGTCACCAGTAGCCACAAGCCACATTTATTAATAAAAAGCATCTAATTAACATTAAAATTTAATTTAGTTTAACACTGAGTTAGTCTCACTAGGCACAGTTCAAGTGCATGAATGTCACGTAGCTAGAAGCCACCATATTGAACGGTACAGATATAGAACATTTCCATCACTGCAGAAAGGTCCACTGGACAGCACTGCTCCAGACTAGGAGTGAGCAAACTTCTTCTCGCAAGATAAATATTTAAACGGTAAGTATTTGAGACTTTCTGGGCCATACCGTCTTTTTCACAACGATAGCTCTGATGTTGTAGTACAAAAGCAACCACAGACACTACGTAAATCAAGTGTGGCTCTGTTCCCACGAAACTTTTACAAAAATAGGTGGTGAGCTGGATCTGCTCCACAGGCCCCAGCTTGCCACCCTCTGCTTTAGACCACCACCTCCACTCTTGGTTCAAACTATGGTCTATAATCAATGATTGTTTAAAAAAATAGCATAAGGAAAAAACTGCCTCCAACAGACTTGTGAATTTAAAGAGAAAACTTTATTCAGTACAACAAAGAATGCTTGGCTGGGTGCGGTGGCTCACGCCTGTAATCCCAACACTTTGGGAGGCTGAGGCAGGTGGATCACCTGAGGTCAGGAGTTGAAGACCAGACTGCCCAACATGGTGAAACCCTGTCCCTGCTAAAAACACAAAAATTAAACAGGTATGTTGGCAGGTGCCTGTAATCCCAGCAACCTGGGAGGCTGACACAGGAGAATCGCTTGAACCCGGGAGGTGGAGGTTGCAGTGAGCTGAGACCGCGCCATTGCACTCCACCCTGGGCAAGAAGAGCAAAATTCCATCTCAAAATAAACAAATAAATAAATAAATAAATAAGAATGCTTCACTGTCAAAATTTCAAGAGATTATTTTTTAAATATACACTAAAAGATCAAGTTCATTTCTGACACAGTATATTTGTGATATCATCTCTAATATAAAATATTCTGAGATTCTTGTATTAACTGTCAGTAATATAAAAACCACATGCTATCCATAAACAAAGTTATGCACTTTGAGTAGCTTTCTCAGTAGTACTGTTTTGGCAACACTATGTTTATATTCTTGCCTTAGTTTCTCTTGAGATCAAATAATATATCATCTTGAAGAGCATGATAGAGCGGTATTCACCAGTACGGTATTTTCAAAGGCACTCTTTTTCTACTCTGAGGAGTCCTTAGGTGAACAATTACTACAGCCACAAAACTAACACAAAAGAATAACCGCCAAAAGAGATCTTAGAGTCCAAATCTCTCATTTCACAGATAATACAACTAACATTTTCACTTAGTCGAGAGACTTTTAGCACTAATTCAGTGGGTTCAACTTCATACAGACAAGATCTCAGATCATGCAGGAGTATATGAAGAAAAGGGACGGAGGCTGAGAAAACGATTCTCAAGAAGAAACGAAACTGGTTACAAATAAAAAAGTCTTCAGACCTCATAGATGGATGATAGAGTAAATATGTGGTCCAGCTTTCCTATACAGATGTTCTGGCATGATTTCTCCATATCTAAAACTTTTCATGGAGAATCTGCTGTGTGCATACCAATCTCCACAGAGCTTTTCCCCCTCAAGTCTCTGTGCCGGCATATGCTTAAATTTCACACCCTTCCGAGGATGACACTGCTGCTGCTTACCAAGAGCTCCCTGTAATGCCCAGAATACGTAAGTTGGCATGCTGGAAGAGCTCAGTAAACGGTGCTGAATGAAGATATGAACAGGAGGATGAACACATGCCTGCAGGCATGGATGCATCCTTACCTTGCCTCCTAAATATCCTTCAAGTGGAGGAGAAGAAAGAAGGACCACAATCTGGGTGAATGCAGAGAATTCCTTTAGGTCAGCAAACTATGGTGCATAGGCCAAATCTGGCCCACTGTGCATTTTTGTAACGTTTTAATGGAACGCTGTCACACTCTGCCATGAATGTATTGTCTCTGGTTGTTTTCATGCTGCAACAGCAGGGTTAAGCAGTTGTGACAAAGACCGTATGACCTACAAAGCCAAAGATCCTTCATATCTGGCTCTTTAGAGAAAATGTTTGCCAAACCCTGCTTTAGAGAACAAGGGCTTAAGAGCACCTAAAGGCTGCTTTAAGAAAACACCAAGCTGATAGCAAGTACCTATATCTCACAGAAATACAGTAAGGGAAAACCATAAGACAGCCATCTCTGGAAAGAGAGAGACCTTAACTGGATACATTGTTCATCTACTCTTAAACTTTGAAAGTATTACTAATCGGAGTTTATGTGCCTATAACCTCTCAACAGCTAGGTGGAGTATTTATGTTAACTATAAGATGAACTTTCATTTGGAAACTTAAAAGTTAACTTGTTAAAATTAATAAGTTGACTATATTGACTAAATTTTATTTTTGTTTTTAAAGTAAATTTTATCTAAGTTTAAATTTAAGCCAGTCAAAATTTATAGGATTGGTAGAAAGAGTTCTCAAGCCTTTGTAATCAAAATTATATATATAATATTTTTATTATATATAAAATATATATTATATATTATTATATTATATACATATATATTATTTATATATTTTTTTTTAAATTTTTTTTTTAGACAGAGTCTTGCTCTGTCACCCAGGCTGGAGTGCAACGGTGCGATCTCCGCTCACCGTAACCTCCATCTCCTGGGTTCAAGCGATTCTCCTGCCTCAGCCTTCCAAGTAGCTGGGATTATAGGAGCGCGCCACCACGCCTGGCTAATTTTTTGTATTTTTAGTAGAGATGGGGTTTCACCATGTTGGCCAGGCTGGTCTTGAACTCCTCATCTCGTGATCCGCCCGCCTGGGCCTCCCAAAGTGCTGGGATTACAGGCGTAAGCCACCGCGCCCGGCCAATGATACTCTTTAAAAACAAACCCACCTTTATTCTGCATATCATATACAGTCATTTTATACAGTCACAGTAAACTACAGAGAGTCTGCTTTTATAAATATACACATTTTGATAAGTAGCTGAAAATCTGAAGCTTGGTATTAATTTTATCTTATTTCTGGTATGACTTCCTTCTAATTCTTCTATTAATAACTTGTGACCTAAATACATTATCTATCATTATCCAAATACCAAACATTCTTTGTTAAGTAGACTAGCAGTGACTATTTTTGATTAAAATGTTAAAGTTCTCCAACTTCTTCCTTAAACAAGCTCTGTTTCTCTATTCTCCAGCTTTAACTCCATCATGGCACACACTGGGGAGAATGCCTCACTGCTGAGTACTAAACAAAGAGGTTGCTCATCTGGCAGAGCTCAGTTGGTTTGGCAACAGCTTTCATATTTATTGTGTAATCTATTCCAAAACCAAGTTGTTCTATATTTGTTAATTACTGTCACTCCACATATAATAACAGGTAATTTAAGTTTCTAAAACTGTAATTAGATATAAACTCAGGCAACAAAGGTTGCAAAGTTATTTTTGCCATTTTATTGTATTAACATTGACACTTAAAACCCAATTTCATTGCAGAATGAATCAAAAATTACAAAGAACTAAGACAGTAGAAAAAAATGCTCTTTTGATCAAGGTGTGACAGGGAATAATATCTACATGCTTACACCAAATGATTTTATTCAATAGCGCATAAAACTCCGGTCTGTGGTGACAAGCAATAAAAACCACTAGTAACAATGTCTGGAGAAAATGTTTTACTTAAACTACTCATTGTACTAAAAATCACTGATTTTGGTGAAATTTAATAAGGCTTGACATTACCCTAATATCCATTTCTATGCTTCATTATGTTCATCTGTGTTGTCTGTTTTAGGACCACATCATGGAGTAAATAAAATTAGTGTGATAAAAAGTATGAGAATGAGTACCAATCTACTTTATTTTTTAAAAAGCGGTGAGCTTAGCTATCTTAGTACGTATCTCAATAGCAGTGTTCATTTCAAACAGTATCCTTCTCTTTAGGTCCTCGTTTTCCCCCTTTAAATTTCTTTCTAGGCATTTCAAAGCACTTGTTCTGTATTTCTCTTATTTAAAATACAAGAAAGCAGCAACAGGCAGCATACTGTAGCAGTTCAGAATGCAAGTTCTGCAGGAAGACTGCCAAGGTCCACACCCTAGAGCTGACGCTCACTGTCAATACAACATCGGCAAGTTACTTGACCTCTGTGCTTCGGTTTCATCGCCTAAAAAGAGGAAGACAAAAACAGTACCTACCCCAAAGAGCTTTTCAGGGGAATAACTGAGTTATTCCATGTAAAGAGCACAGAACAGTGCTCAGCACACAGTAAGTGCACAATAAATATTTGCACTTTTTCCCCACTAGAGCCAAATGGACCTTAGCACAGACAGTGAAAACATAAATACAAAAGAACTGATTGCAATATTCAGATTGCCAAATACAGACTAGGCTCCTGGGTCAGAATCACTTATTTCATGGCTGTAATAGTTCAAACATGGTTTTATACCTAGAAATGCTTCTCAATAGACAAGAGTCAGAGAGACTGGATGCTTTCACTGGGGAATGTCTTCCCACCCAACTATCACAAGTGTGGAAAAATCACTGGATCCACATTTGCAGGCATATTTCATGAAATTTAGCTGGCACCTATATTCATTATTTTACAATTTCAGTTTTGTATACCTTTCAGATTTGTGAATGTAGTTTTTTCTTAAAATTCATTTTAACTTGATGGTATGTTTTCAATTCCCCCAAATTAATGGACTGTGTATGTGTGATCACAAGGGTGTGTTTAAATGTTAATAATGTATTTGTGCACTTAAAATTTTACATTGGAATCCATAATGCTAAAAAGCCAAATACAGCATTTGCCAGTTTAAAAAAAAGTACCTCTTGTTTCTAGGGCCCCGCTCATGTTGTTTTAAGCAATAAGAAAAGAAAATTTAGGTAATTAATAGATCCATTTTGGAATGCACAGGTTTCCCTATGTATTTTATACCATATTTGGACCATCTTATGATTTAAAAAATAAAAATAAAAAATCTGGTACAGTGGTTCATTCCCACCAGAAACACTTGGGAAGGTCAAAATCAGCTGAGGTGCCTCCTATCTTTTGAATCAAAATCTAGGAAAGACATGGAAATCTATTTAAACAGTTTCCCAGCTGATTCTAATGTGCAGGCAAGTTTGGAACCCACTGGTGTTAACAGTCTTAATGGTTAAATTGTCCTTCATACCCCAGATCTGCACACTAACCCACACAAATATGCAATCATTTCTTGTCACGTGCGTAGCCAAGTTTGATTTTTTAAAAAAGTAGGGGTGGAAGTTTAATTTAAAAACAGTATTTCCATCATAGTTAAATATTGCTGTTATTCTAGTGAAGTTCAAAGGCTTCTGATTATAGAGGTGGGAGGATTGCTTAAGGCCAGGAGTTTGAGAAACAGGGCAAAACCTGTCTCGACAAAAACAAAACAGTCTTCTGATTATAACTACTCAGAAGAACATTTCAGATAGCTAATGTCATTAGGTATAATAACACTTAATATTTGTCCAGAACTTTATAAAGTATTCTTATATTTTACTTTTTCAAAGCCTCAAATACACCTGAAGATACATAAAAAAAGTATGTAAACTAATTCCTGTTTTAAAAATGAAGCACAAAATGGCTACATGACCAGAGAACAGCAAAGCCACAAGAAGAGCACATATTCTCCAGCTCTGGGAACTGTTTCTGTCTGTTGGTTGGTTGGTTTTACTCTCAGAAAAACATAATACAGCAAAATAAATTCTAGACTCAGAAAAAAAGAAAAGGAGAAAATAAGGTCAGAGGACTGTACATTACTGTGAACTATACAAAAAACGAATGTTTTTCCTTCAAAATTTAATCATGTATTATAAAATAAAAAGTCCTGGCTTTTTTTCCTATTTATAATAAATGAAATTGGAAAAGAGCACAGTTGAATGAAAATTTAGTTAATCCTTAAATTGCATGGAACTAAAGTATAAAGATGAATAGAAGTCTCTAGCCTGTAGGAAACCGATTAAACAATACCAGAACCAGAACAGACAGATTCATATCATGTGAAGGATGTTTTTAAGGATCCAAATTATTTTAACTGCTTTACTTTATGTGATCTAGACCTCTCTCTTTATATAACATATTCAGGATGAATGGAATTAATTTTGAGAAGCAATATTATGAATACATTTATAACTATAAGGAAGATGAATGGCATTTCTTTACAAGGCTAATTTTCAGGCTGCATAACACTAAAGTTCGAATTGCTATTTATTTTTAAAATGCGCTGGTACAGAATGAAATGTTTTATAATTATTTTTAAAATACAAATTATCCATTTGCATTTAACTCTGTTGATTTATTAATATAACTCACC